>NC_000001.11:208033071-208184587 GCF_000001405.40 Homo sapiens | reverse complement strand
AAGCATAACTGCTTGCTTCATCCCCAGCCTGTGTGCCCCTTCCATCCCTGCCTACACCCAACCCTGTAGAGGCCCTGGGGTGTGATGAGTAAGTCAGGGTAATGACACCACACCCACATTATCTAGGGCTGGCCTTGGTATACTTTCCTTGGTTTTTTTTTTTTTAAGCAGGGGGTGGAGAAGGGAGGCAGAATATGATTGCAAAACCTATTTGGCTGTAGCTACCACCTGAATTCCTCTTTTGCTACAGACAGCGTCCCCCTTCCTCCCCAGGCAAGTTAAATTGCTTAGGACTGGCAAAGAGACTCAGAGTCTAAAGAAAACCTTCGGGTTGGCAGAATAAACATTCTTACCCGTCCCTTCCCTCCTCCCTGTCTCAACCCACCCCACATCTATCCTCTGGGCCAGTTAGCCCTCATTCCTAAGGAGCAGGCTATCATGTGAACATCTGGGGAAATCAAGAATGAAAGTTACACTTGAGTAAAAACTTCCTAGAACAGCACTGTCCAAGATAACATTCTGTGATGAGAAAAAACTTTTATATCTGTGCTGTTCAATACAATAGCCACTAGCTACATGTGGCTATTGAGAGATTGACATATATTAGTGTGCCTGAAAAGCTGAATTTCTTATTTTACTTAATTTTAATTAATATAAGGATAAATAGCTACCTGTGGCTAGTGGCTATTACACTGGATGGTACAGTTCTAGAATATGAAGTAGAAATAACTTAGAAGTCTAGGGTACCATGAAAGCCTAAAGGAAAAGTCTCCAACTCTCAGTCCCAGTTGAAAAGGGGGCAGTTTTGTAAGATGCTACAGTGCAATTTCTTTTTCATCTGCCCCAGAATAAACCAAATTCCCAGCTTAAAGCATCAGACGGGCCTCTCTTGGTGATCTGTTTCCCAGGTAAAAGAAACTGAGGGGTAGATAAGCAGGAGTGGGGCCCAGCACCGTCCCCCACCCCCAAAGACCCCCCCCTCTCCCTCTCTGGCACCTGGCTCTGGCTTCTCGTCTACAGCAGGGACCCCAGTGGGGACGCTGCGCAGAATGGTGCTGCAACTGCGGACATCTGGTTTCCCTCCCATCTCTGCCCCTTCATTTCTTTTCTGTCAGCAACAGCTCCTGGCTGTGGATGGTCAGCAGAGTCAACGAGGCCTGCAGACCTCCTTTCCGGCTCCCTCTACTCCCCCATCCCCTGCTGAGGAAGGTTAAGGGAGAAAGAGAAAAAAAGAGACAGGAAGGCAGAGTGAGGGTGAAATGAAATGTTAGTGACATTCAAGAAAGTGAGTTCATGGGGCTCTCACTGCCCTCCCTCCGGATTCAGGATGAACCTTGTCTGGTTTATAAGCCATCAGTGGCTTCTCCCCTGTCTGAGTTGCCAAACTCTTGTGCCCCCACCCTCCATGGCTCACTGCAACACATGTGCCTCCTCCCATATCATGGCAGGTCCATCTGTGACCTTTGTTCTTCTGACCTCTCCCCTAGACGAAGGGGGAGCCCCAGAGGAACTTTCCCTCCCTATCCCAGACTGAATACATTCAACCTGCCTCTCTGTACAGCCTCCCCCAGTCGCTGTGGGTAAACAGGAGGAAGAGAGAGGAAAAGCTTTCTTTCTTGACTAGGAGGTTGGCAGCCCCAGCTTGATTCCACATGGGAAGAAGCTATTCCTTTTTCTGATCTTGGCTCCTTGGCTTTTACTGTCCCCTACCCCTAGCCAGAAGCTGCATTAATTCACCGGGTCACTCAGCAGCCAGAGTCTCCTCTAGGAGAGGCTGAGCTGCCCAACCTAGGAATGGGCTAGAACCCAGCAGTACTGGATGCAAACTCCCCGCACAGCTCTGCCCAGCTGAAAGGCTGCCCTTCAAACCCCTTTTCTTGCTCAGAACTACAGGGGAAAGCAGGAGAGCCCCTGTTTTGCTACAAACAAGCAGAGTGATGGCAAATACGCCTCAGTTTTCCTATCTGCAAAATGAGGAGACGGCCTCATAAGGCCCTTCCGGAGCTCCATTCCATGAATGCAGTGTCCCAACATTGCCACTCGCATGGGCAGAGCAAGACGCTTTCAGTAGCTATGGAACTGCCAAAAAATTCTCTTGCAGTTTTTTGGTGGTTCTGATTTCTTTTTTCTGTCTTTCTTTCTTTTTTTCTTTTCTGAGACAAAGTATCACTCTGTCACCCAGGCTGGAGTGCAGTGGCGCGATCTGGGCTCACTGCAACCTCCACCTCCCTGGTGCAAGCAATTCTCCTGCCTCAGCCTCCTAAGTAGCTGGGATTATAGGCAGGCACCACCATGCCCGGCTAATTTTTGTATGTTTAGTAGAGATGGGGTTTCACCATGGTGGTCAGGCTGGTCTCGAACTCCTGACCTTGTGATCCGCCCGCCTCAGCCTCCCAAAGTGCTGGGTTTACAGGCGTGAGCCACTGCACCCGGCCTTTGATTTCTTAAGGAAGAGAGATGAACCCATTGCTCATCTCCTTCTACTGGTTTGATTCCTTTTGTCTTGAGTTCTAAGCTCTGGAGCTGAGCTGAGCTGAGCTAGACTGAACAGGCCACGGTGAAAGAGACAGGAGAGACACTAAGTCAATTTGCCTTTGTTTGTATAGCAGCTAGAGCAGGGAGGAGTTGAAATGAGATAATAGAAAGAACTTCCTAAATGGGACACGGTCTCAGGGGAGTGTAACATTTTCTTTCCTAGCAAAATTTCAAAATAAGAAAGTTGGAGGAGAACATTTGCCTCCCAAAAGCTATTTTTCTGGACATAATTTAAAATTACAGCTTCTCCTCCTATCGCTCTGTATTCCGCCACTTCCCATCCCTGGACCTCATCCCTACCTTCACAGTGAACTCGGGCCCACAACGGCCTGGTCTACAGATGGCGGAAAGAGGTGGGAGGTTTTGCCAGAGAGCAGGGGTGAGATTCCCCTCCCAGCCCCTCTCTGACTTCTGACCTCTGCACCTTTCTTGCTAGTGATCCCTAAATTACTGGGCTGTCTAACCCTCTCTAGGGAGGAGGGAAGCAAACAGGGCTGACGGGAGGTGGAGCAGAGAAAGTATGAGGTGGAGGTCAGGGGTCTTTTCACAGTGTGTTTTGGCAAAGGAAGCCTGTGGAGCTGCCAGTGGGATCAGACTTTCATCTCCTGAGCTAGCCCCCTCACTGGGAAAGCAAAAGCTGTCACTGGAGCTGTGATTTGGAGCATGTGCTCTGGGGAACTAGGCTGCACCCCTCAGGGTCTGGCCCCCTGAAGGAAAGACCAGAGAACAGACAGGGCCTTCCCTGCACCCTCCTGCCACCACCCTCCTCAGCCTTAGGAGGTGACAGCAGTGCCTGGAAAGGGGCTTGCTCAGAAGGAAAAGGCTCGGTCTGCCTACCTGGGTCGGGAAGTGGTAGATGGGATTGTCCTCAGGGCCCCAGCCAGCATGAAGCCTCTCTGATGCTTCTTATAGCCCTCAGTGTGTTCCTATCACTCCAGAGAACCTCCCACATGCATTTGTCTCCCAGTCCAGCAAATTAAAATCTGAAAGGAAGGAAGAGGTCACAGGCTCAGAGCCTGGACACTAGAGGTTTCTCACTGAGTGAACTTTGGAAGGCTTGGAAGGCTGGAGTTTGGGGTCGCAGAGAAGTCAGCCTCCGCCATCCCCTCTCAAACTTGGGCAGGGGGAGACCCCAGAAGCTTGACATGGCCAGGGCCAATAGCGGTTACTCCCTTTCCCTCCTACCCCCATTTCCCTCATCACAGTCCTTTTTACCCCTCCTGGGATATCTTCCATCCCAGTTCCCCTCGATTGCTTTAGGGTGTGGGGCAATGACAGCGAATACTCATGAGGGGCAACAACTTCAGACAAAATCTCTGAAGACTCACCCGTGTCTCCACACTTCTTCCACCCCTTGCTAGCTGTGTAAAGTTAACCACTGTGACTCTCAGTTTCCTCGTCTGCCAAACGGAGTAAATAATAGTGCCTTTCTAGGATGGATGCCAATGTTGTTTGGATTCAACATAAAGCAGATGCAGAGGGTGTAACGCGGTGCCTGATACATGAAAGTTAAGCATGAGCTCTTGGGTTTTTGTTTCCCAGGTTTCTTCTCTCTTGGTGGCTCTTTAATGAATAGTGACAGTCCATACCCAGGCAGCCATAGCCACTGCCACTGCCACAGCCAAAGCTCAGGCTATGTGATGAACCTGTTTTCTCTGCCTTCTGCCCCTGCTCCCAGCCATCCCGGCAGAGGTGCCCACTCAGGCCTCCTACCGGAGCCCCTCTCCCACCGCTTGAATGCAGAGGCGTTTCTTCTGCTGACAGCCTGAAGACAGGCCATTTTTCTTCTCCTCCCATATAATGGCCTTTACTCTCCTACCACTCCACCCCCTTTCCCAGCCTTAATGACTTTAACATACACACAGTTATTTAAAAAAAAAAAAAAAAATACAAGCCCCCAGTGAGCTGCTCTAAACCGCCTGTTGTGGAGGAGGAACAACCCAAGCACATGTTCACAAGTCACTGCATGTGATGACAGGGGGCCTTGTGCTAATTTCCTCGTGTTTGAAGCCCCAGGGTGGGGGCGGGGCAGGAGGCAGCCAGAGGGGAGAGACCCAGGGCTTGGGTATTTGCTTGTTCCCTTTGATCCTCCTAGAAAATGCTGTAGCATTTGGGGAAGTATTTCATCCTGGGAAATCTCAAAGAAGAGTAAGAAAGATGCCTTAGGCAGGGGTTGGGGGGTGGCAGGGGATACTGTAGAAGGAAGATGCTACCAGATGACCTTTTCTCTCCTTGAGATTCTGAATCCCTGCTCTGGCTTCCCTGGGCAGCAGGAGAGAGTACAGAATCTCCAAGGGGAGGCTTCAGCTCAAGGTATTTATGGATTTGCTGAAGCCTCCTACCCTAACACTCACACAGTTTTTGCCTTCCAGTTTCTCTTTGTGGCTTATCTGAGAGAGGCTAATAGAGCCTCCAGGGCCCTCATCTGCCCCACCCTGTGGATAGCATCTAGGTTGAGCCTCTCCCTCTGATCTTGACCTCTAGGGCTGACGTGTAGTCTGTGAACCAAGGGTTGGTCTGGTGGGGGAGAAGGGGAGTGAGTGCTGCCTGCCTCTTGGCAGACCATTATGCCAGGAGGGAGGAGGTTCCTGACCACAGGACAGGTCCGGCAGAAGGGAGGGAGGACAAAGAGCCAAAAGCCCCGGCTGCACCTCCTAGCAGGGAAATGGAGCTGGCTGTGAGCCAGGTTTTCCTCTAAATCAGAAGCAAATGCACCAAAGCTGCAACCTTACCCCTTGACCGAGGACGGGAAAGTGCCTGTCTGACCTCACGTTATTGGTGCTATTATCATCATTATTGGTAATATCACCATCATCATCCTGTAATTTACCAGCTTCAATGGCGAGGATGCTTAGGCTTCCTCTGGGCTTTCATGTTAAGAGAAAATGAGTTGTGGCAGCCTCCCCGCCTCTCTCCTCCCCATAACCACCCACAGGGCCTCTGCCCCTGTCCTCATCACCAGAGACTCTCCGTAGCCCAGGCCCAGCGTGCTGTCATGCTTGTGGGGATGCTGTGTGTCAGGGCTTACATGCTAGGGCAAGGGGGAAGGCCCCTTTGTGTGGTAGCACATGTCCCTCCTCTTTAAACCAAGAAAAAGACTTCAACCCACACCCTAAACTAGTTGTTCTCAAACTTAAGCTTGCATCCGAATCACCTGCAGAGCTTATTAAAATACAGATCACTGGGTCCCACGCCCAGCATTTCTGATTTAATGGATCTGAGATGGAGCCTGAGAATTTGTATTTTCCAAATGCTGATTTTGTAAGTTTCCAGTTGATGTTGATGCTGTTGATCTGAGTACCACATTTTGCAAACCACTCCCCTAAGGGTGAGTTATTGGAACTCTTCTTCTCCTCGCATCCTCCTGGATACAGGTGTTTACATTGTCCCTCATTCGATACCTTCCAAATTGGGTTCCCAACAAGGAGGCCAAGGGCCCAGGTGCAGTGTGAGATGGGGGAGTGCTGCTAGCTCGCACACATAGGAACCCCTTGGAGAGAAGGCAGAGGCAGGCAACACCCCCGCCCCTACCCCTGAAGATTTATTCTTTCATTTGGTATTTTAGGCCTTCCTCAAGGGGGTGCTGGGGCCAGCCTGACTCACTGTGTAAACCTTTTTCAGGAACACTGGGCTGCAGCCAAGCTCTCCTCCCTCAGTTAGGCCCACCCTCATTCTTCCCCACCTGTTCCTCTAGCTGAGCTTCAGGCTCAGCAGAAAGTGACAATGTCCCTGTGCACACTGTCCCCATGCCCTGTAGGGAACAGGCACCTGGCTGCACATTGTGTACATTAATTTTCAAAGCAAGGCTTCTCATAACTCTTTGCCATAGCTTTCTCCTCCCCTCTACTCCAAAGAGCTCAGGAATTCCACAAAAACAGTGCCATGGGAGCGTGACCTTTGCTCTTTTTTTTTCTCCTCTCGGTAGGATAAAGAGGAAAGAAGGTAGGAATGGACACTTATTATGCTCCTATAGAATGGCAGAGGCTGTGCTAAATGCATTGCACATCATCTTCTATTACCAGGAGTGTTTTCTGCCTAATGTTTGTTCAAGTCCTCAGGGTAAGGCCCCTGTTTTGCAGTAAGAGGTTTGAAATCTCCAGGTGCACACTGTACACAGATAACCAGAGACGGGCAAAGTCTAGCCCAGTGATTCTCAGACTTGAGAGTGCATCAGAATCACCTGACTGCTTGTTAAAACGCAAATTGCTGGGTCCCACCCCCAGAGTTTCTGATTCATTAGCACTGGGCTGGGGCAGGCCCCAAGAATTTGCATTGCTAACAAGTTCTTAGGTGGGGCAGATGCTGCTGCTCTGGGGACCACGGTTGAGAACCACTTATCTAGTTCTACAGCCCATTGGTTAGACTTTTGCTGGCTGTTGTTTTATGTTTCACTCATCAGAACTGTATTCCCACCTCTAGACCAGATTATACTCTTTCTGCGATCCCTTGAGGTCACTAAGGAAAAATGTGACCAGCTTGCTAATTCCATGTTGTTTATTCATTTATTCAAAAGATAATAATCATTATAGTAAACACTCATTTAGTGCTAAGTGCCACTGTCCTAGAGCTTTGCATGTATTAACTCTTTTAATCCTCATAAATAATCCTGAGGTATCTGTAATTATTATCCCCATTTACAAATGAAGCAACAGAGACACAGAGATTTGAAGGTTACACAGCTGATCAGAGGTGGAGTAGGGATTCAAACCAGGCAGTCTAGTTCCAGAATTTGTTTTGCTAATCAGTCCTCTGCTTGGTGAGTATCTGTTTTGAGATAGGCACTATGCTGGACTCTGAATGCATCAGGTAGGAAAAATACAAAAAGGTGAATAAGTCACAGCCTTTCCTTTAACAATTAACAGTGTTTAACAGTTACAGCCTTTCCTTGTATGAACAATTGGAACATCATAGAATAGTACCAAGACAGAAATATGTATCCAGTGCTGAGGCCCTAAAGCAGGCAGAATGAATAGGTCTGGGAGAGTCGGCAAAGCCATCAAAGAAAAGTGTGCATGGAGCTTGGTTTGTAATGCAAGGAGTTTTGAGCTGTGAAAGAGGCAAAAGGCCATTCCCTAGCAGCAGCCAAAGCAGTCTGTGCAAAGGCACCGGCACCGTGGTGAACTGGGCACAGCAGGTTCAGGGGACTATGAGTGGTTCAGTGCTAGAGGATCCCAGGACTCAAGGAGGAAGGGAGTAGGGCAAAAAGGGAAAGCAGCTGACAGGCAGGCTAGGGCTACACTGTCAGTGCTCAAGAGTTTGGACTTTGGTTATCAAGGGGAAACCCTTTAAGGTCTTTGGAGCAAGTGAGGGACGTAATCAGATGTGTCATTTTGAAAGATAATGCCAGGTTTTAGCTTTTAGTTCAGCATGGGCTACATGAACAGACACAGTAGGAGCTGGCCTTCCCTTGCATCCTCAGTCACTTATATGTCCCTGGGTAAAATCACCCTCTTTCCCTGGCACTTTCTATCTACCTGGACAGCATCCCCTTACTGTCTGTTTCTCACTGTGGGACTTTTTCTTGTTGATATTTTCCATTCTTCTCCAGGCTTTTCCAACCTGTACCTACCTAACTCTGACCCTGTAATTCATTAATTTTGCATCTTATTCTTCATGACCCCAAGAAAAAATCTGTAGCAATGTTGTTTGTAGCCTGGAAACCCATGCTTAAGTTGGCCATGGCTCCTTGCTCTGGTAGGTAAGGGCAGATGTGGATACAGGCATAATTTGAGGAGTAAAGAAGGGGTGACAGCCTCTTCTTACCCATGCCCGTGGAAATGAAATGAATGAGTCTAGAGTTAGTTGCAGGCCACTGGGACCCCTCTGCAGGGCTTACCTGTCTAACCCAGCTCTTGTCATCTCACTGGAAAGGCTGATGGGAACCAGTGCTAGAAGCACCATCCTGGGACCTTTATTTTTTCATCTGTGAAGTGGCAACAATTCCTTACTTGTTTATTTCACAGTTATTGTGACCTTAACTCAAACCTGACTTTGAAAGCCTATTATAAACTGTAAAGCACCAGACAACTATGAGAGAGAAGGAGGGTACGTAAGGCTGGTTGGTTCCAACAGAAACAGAATTGAGCCATCCATCAATTCACTTCAGACAAAACCCCAAGATACCACACAATGGGAAGCCGGCCCGTGTCCAACCCTATAACCATCCTAGTGAGTCCCTAGGCATCTTTTAACTATGGTTTGAACCAGCCTGTCTTCTTTCTCTGGCTATCAGGTTTTCTGAGGCACTCTCTTAGGAAGACTGCCATTCTCCAGCCTGACCTCTGCCAACCAGGGCCTCAGGTTGTTGCTCCCTGGGGCTATGGATGACCTTTCCAGATTTCCAGCCCATTCCCCTGGGGAGCAGTGATTCCTGTTGTGGAGACAGCTGGCCCCAGGACTCCAGCTCAGACTTCTCAACAAAGGACTGGTCCAAGAAGAAGAACATAGTTCCAATCAGACTGCCTAGACTGTCCAGGACACAGGCAAAGTTTGGTCTCCTTTACCCTAAGAGAATCCTTTGGAGGCCATTTTACATTCTTCCTCTTCCTCCAGGCCAGGTAGCCTCTATCTCTTCTTACTTTAATGCTGGAGCCTTTGTGTCCATGTTCAGAGGATGTGCCAGCCCTGGAGGGATACAGTGGGGGAACAAGAAGAGACCTCCCCTGGAAAGGAAGGACTCTTGCCCAGTGACTGGCTGTATTCCATACTGGAGTCCACAGTTCACTGTCTGGTGCTCAGCTGGGATGAGTGGACCCAGTTGGAATGTAGGAAGACTCACGCTTTGTTCTTATCACATCCCTGCCCTCTCCCCCTCCACCCTTTAGCCTTCTTTCTCATCCTCCCTTAGTGGAGCTCCTGAGTGCTCTTCAGGTACAGGGTCTCCAGGTGTTCCGGTTCACTCATCATATACCTTCTCCCCCAAAGATTCCTGCAGGATCAGCCAGTCTGCTCACTGCTGTTGAGTTCTGTTTTCTAAGGGGTACAGGAGCTCCCACGAGCCACTAGTGTGCAAAGTCCTAACAACAGCTGGCTCCCACCTGTCCCAGCTCCCCCAGAGGCAGCAAATGGCCAGGGCTGGACAGAGTTCCCAGCACCAGGGAGGTATCAGATCAGCAGGGGCCAAATCCGATTTCCCTTGCATTCCAGAGGCATTGAGGGAGACCAGGAAACACCAGCTCATTTCCTCGGGGAATTTCTCTTGTATCCACCACTGTTGTCACTTTGCAGTCGTGAACTTGAGGATATACAGGTGGGGGGAACACATGAGGAGGAGAGAAGGCCTAAGGGCTAGTGTGGAGCAGGGAGTGCATTGTGGGGTTTGAGTTTCAGAACTGAAAGCAGAGAAACTGGGCTGAGCCTTGAGCAGAAGTGCCTGGTGACCCCTGTGGCCCTGGTGCATGGACCAGCCTATTGGGGGCATGGGAGCTCCTCCGGCTTCCCACTCTGATGGCTTAGGTCAGCAGCCTTCACCTGCCTCTTCTGCCCTTCCCAGTCTCCTCCCCTCAGTTTGTCTTCTTCCCCTCCCTGCACACCTCCAGCCTGCCTCCTCCATATGGTCTCCACATCTGGCTGATGACCATCCAGAGAGTTTGACAATGCCTTCTTCCCTCCCTCCACAGCCCTTACCTCCTCCCACCCCCACCCGCGGCGTCTCCTTATGACTCTGCCTTCTGTGTTCCTCCTTCCCTCCCCCAGGCGCCTCTGCAAGAATAGAACAAGCAGGCAGGCTTTCCAAAGAGTTAGCCCTTCTCTCTCCAGCCCCCAACCCCACACACAACCATTGGCTGCCAGGCCATAGCAAGTCCCCACTCCTCTCTTTTCCATACTCAAAGCCCCTCACCGACAGGAGCTGAGGTCTGCCAGTGGGCAGGACCCCTCCATGACCAGGCAAGTGGCCTAGACACATTTGCAAAAACCAGTCACGTCATGACTCAGAGATTCTACCTCTGATCCAAATACCCTTCTCAGAGGGGACTTGGCACAAGGGAGAAAACCCACATATTCCACCAACTTCTCTTCTTTTCAAAGCGCTATCTCAGCGGGCTCCTAATTCTGTCTCCAGCATATGTGCTTCTGTGTGAGTGGGGGTGCGCACATGCACCACATCTCAGCATCCTGGTACCCGCATGGCATTCCCAGGAGGGGCAGAGGAAATGAAAGTCGAGCAAGCAGCAGCAGATGTTGCTGGAGTTCTTCTTCCTGGCTTGGTGCTGCTCATCCTTCTGCAGGTCAGACTGGTAATGAGAGGATTAATTTTAGTTCTCCTCCTTCTTGGCCCCAATATGGCTGGCCAATGCTAGTTCAGCTGGTAACATTTTCATTGGCAAATCCTCCACTCACCCTTGAGACAGGCTCAGCATGCACAGCCCCAGAACGAGATCTGCTGGGAACAGAAGCCTTGGCCCTTATTCTTGGACAGATATGACAGCTTGGTAGCAAAGAACTGATCCTTTGTCCCCTTGCTGGTAGACTGGAAAGAACGCTGGGCTGGACTGCAGGTGAATCCTGCTTGGCCGTGTGCTAGCTGTGTGATTCTGAGAACTTCACTTAGATTCTCTGAGCTCCGATTTTCTCAGTTCTTAATGAACATAATAACATGGGATGCACAGGGCTTGTTGCAAGGATTAAATAAGATAATATATTCATATATAGTAAGCACTCAGCAAATGCTAGATTAAGTCTGAAATCTAAACGGGGCTCATAGTGCAGGGAAATAGAACTGCAGACTTTTTAAGAGACCTTCAAAGGCTCACTAATCCAACATCCTCGATATGGCAGTAAAGGCATTAATACTAGTGGCCGTAATACTAGTAAACACACATAATGTTTTCTGTGCCATCTACTGTTCCAAGTACTTTATTTGTATATATTAACTCTTAATCTTGCACCGACAGGATTTGAAATAAGGAAATTTTACAAATGAGGGCATTTGGCTTATAGAGGCTGAGAGCCCTGCTCTTGTTAGTGGTAAAGCCAGGAGTCCAATCTAGCAATACTGGTTGTAGATTTTGCTCTTAATCACTACCCAACACTGCCTCTCAGATATGCCAGTGAGGCAGCTCCAGCCTAGAGGGCAGTAACTTGCTCACAGTCACCTCGCTGTTAATCTTCTCCCTCTCAGGCCTGGGCTCTTTCTGTGATGTTGAACTGATTAGTCATATTCACTGGGAGCTGCTAGAAGGACCCATCTTCTGCAGCCAGCCAGCCGTCCCCAGAGTATCCCAGTTACTCCTTTCTTCTCTAATGCTGCCCAAAAGTGTCCCCTGAACACAAAAAAACAGCTTTGTGCAGGCTCCTGCAGGGACTCCCAGGTAAGGCCTGAGCACTCTCAGCCCTCCCTTCTGCCAAGATGGATAGTACCATCCAAGGACATGATGAGATCAGCTCCCTCAGCCCTCCAGAATCTGTTATAAAGAGAAAGCAGCTTCCTTGGGATAGTTGCCACCCAAGAACTCAGAAGCCAAGCTTTCCAGCGGTGAGATAAGTGTCAGGGCATGTGCTCGGCTCAGCCTGCCCAGAGCTGAGGTCAGACCCTTGTGACCCCCAGGTGTCATCTGCGGATGGGGGCAGTGCTGTGGGCACAACTAGCAGGCAGAGGAGATGGAAGAGGAGGGGGCAGCGGTAACTTGGAAGTACTTAGGAGTTGTTTTTAAAAGCAATGTCAAAGTAGAGAGCTAGAAATTGAAGGAAGAACAGAACACACTTTTTACAAAGCAAAGTCCAGGGATCCCTGGTCTTTCACAATATGACCCCACCAACCTTTCCAATTCCACAGTACTTCCTCCAACCCAAAACATTACCTCTGCAAATAACAGAGCCCCAAACAGTGGTTTTCACATAGGTCTGCAAACAATATGTGCATCTTTCCTTTGGAGCCACTCTTCAGGCTGCTGTTACGTTGGTGCAAAAGTCTTTGTGGTTTTTGCCTGTTTTCCCCCCAGCTCTCTATTTTGACACTGCTTTGTGCTTATCTCACTGCACAACATTGGTGCAGAAGTAATTGCGGGTTTTGCCTTTTTTTTTTTTATGGCAAAACCCACAATTACTTCTGCACCAATGTAATAACTGCTAAGATGTACTGAGCACCTACTATGTGCCCCAGGCACTATGCATCATATGCATTTTCTTAAATTAATTCTCACCACATAATCCTATTAGGGTAAGAGCTATTATTATCATCTTAAAAAAAACTTCCTTTTTATACAGGGTCTCACTGTCACTCAGGCTGGCATGCAGTGATGCAATCATGGCTCACTGCAGCCTGGATCTCGTGGGCTCAAGCGATCCTCTCACCTCAGCTTCCCAAGTAGCTGGGACTACAGGCGCATGCCACATCATGCCTGGCTAATTTTAAAAATTTATTTATCGCAGAAACAGGGTCTCACTCTGTTACCCAGACTGGTGTCAAACTCCTGGCCTCAAGCCATCCTCCCGCCTTGGCCTCCCAAAGCACTGGGATGAGGCATGAAGGTGTTGGGATGAGGCATGAGCCATCTTGCTAGGCCTATTACCAACATTTAATAGTTAAAGAGATCAGAGGTTAGCGAGCAGGTTAGGTAACTTAGGCAAGTTTCTTAAACTCCTACTGCCCCCATTTTCCTTCTGCTACAATGGGGGACTAACTCAGAATTTATTTTGAGGATTAAATGTATTTTGAGAATTAAATGATAGAGTACATATCAAACCTTTAAAATGTATCTGGGCTGTAGTAAGCATTTAGTAAAAGTTAACTGTTATTATTATCATTACTGCATTCACCATCTCCTCTGACTGAAAGTACCCCAGCCCTTCCCCAGCATGCTCAAATCTCACTAGTCCTTCAGGTTCAAGCTGTGACAGTGCCAACATGGCACCCTGCACTACCACCACACTGCTCTTCTTTGATAAGGACAACTTGCCTCTTCCCAAGTTTATCAAATGCTAAGGAAGCTTACCTACTTACCTTTAATCTATGTCCCCTGGTTCAGATTGGAGCCCATCATGAGATGTTACCACTCGTTACAGCCTGCATTGGGAATAATACCCCCTCCAGGAAGTCTTCCTTCCTCAGCCTCCACTGATATCCCTGAATTCCTGCAAGACCATCCTCTATAATATTCAGCATTTGCTCACTGGCATTACTTCTTGTTATTTTTCTTCCTCTGTCTTGCTCTCTGCACTGGATTGTAGGATTCTTGAGAGCAAGGACTATATTTTATTTTATTTTATTTTATTTATTTTATTTCTGTTTATACTGCCAGGATATTTATCACTCCGGAGGCACTTAAAACACTTGTTGGTTCATGCATCAACCAATAATGGTTAATTGTTCATTAAAAACAATGTAGATTATAGGGTAAAAGGCAATTTTTGACAGTACTTATTCCTACTTCAAAGGCCAGAATAACACTGGGGTCATGAAATCATACCATGAAACCTATTGGGCTTTGATCACATCGGATTCATTCCATTTTCTTGTGCTTGGTTGAACTAGCCCCTTATGAACATGCCCACAGACAGCTCTTGCCTGCTAGCCAGCCTCATGCCCCGGCTCTGGCAGGCATCCAGCCCCACAGGGCCTCCTGCTCCCCTGCCTCTGTGGGTGGCTGTGCCTCTCCTCCTGGCCGTGGTTCAGATCCACCCGCCCCTGCTTCCCCCTGCCTGTCAATCACCAGTCTCTGGAGATGGTCCCCAAGGCCCATGCTAGTTCTCCCCAGCCTCCAGTCACAAATGACTGCTTCAAGGCAGGCTGGTCTTTGTTTAATGCTTCTTTCATTTGACTTTGGGCTAAGAGGAAGATAAATGACACTCTGTCTCTTTAAGGTAAAATAGAGGCATTAAAAATGGCCTATTTTTTTGCCTTTTAAGAAAAAAAATCCTCCAAGTTATTAGCGGAAAGAAAATCATTTGACTTAAGCAGCCTCTGGCAGTCTGGTGATGCTGAGAACAATATACCTATCAGCATCTATCAGGTTTGGAAAACAAAGCCATCTGCATATGGGGAAATGAAGGGGGGCTGAGGACTGAGAAGAGGTGGTGAATATCTAATGAGGGATGCACAGAGCACCCCACGCCTAGCTGGGAAAGTTCTTGGAGGTCCTGGTGTCTGTGGTTGTCAGTGACTAGAAAAGTCTAGACATTTAGGAAGGGAGCATTAAGTTTGGACTTTGAAACTTTTTCTTAATAGTCAATACAGATTTTAGAGTTCATCCAATCTAAGTCATCTTTTTTTTTTTTCATTTTATAAACTCAAGACTGTAGAAGATAAGTGATTTGCCCAAGGCTATACTTGATTTGCACCATAATCGGGGCTAGAATCCAGGTTCCCTGGCTTTCTCAGATTGGTTATCTTGTCTGCTGATAGAAGCCCCTTTTCTCACCTGTTGAACATGCTGTCTCTTTTCTTCTGCCCCAATCTTTCTTCCACTCCAGAATCTCTCCCTGTGGACCCCAGTGTGACTTTCCCATCCAAGTCTTCTGATTTCCTGGTGCTCCAGCCCTTTGTCCACTTGCCCACCAGGCATACCTTCTAGGACAGGGGCTCTGTTTATTCCCAAACAGGGCCACGTACACCCAAAATAGACTTTTGGGTGCAGCAGTAATTTGCCCTGGGGCTAGGTCCCAGCAACATCAAGTCTGCCATGGAAGACAGAGAAATATTCATGACGAGTTAAAGTTATGCCCACAGACAAGGCTGATGGTCCAGACTTGCTGATCATGTGTGACCCGTCCGAACTCTCCCTGTGTCTTGTCATCACTCCGTTAATCTGCACTTGTTTATCGGTTTTTGAATGTGTGTCCTGTCTGCATCTACAACGTGTGCCTGTCACCTCCTGCCTGCCCTTGACTCCCAAAGGTCAGCCTCAGAGCCTCTTTTTCCCTTGAGCTCTCTCTGGGGCACACAGAGGAGCTCAGTGCAGGGAGGAGTCTGCCTTTACCCCAGCCCAGCTGTTCCATGTTCAATAACTTGGTCTGAGAGCATCCACAGGCCAGAGTGAGGACAATCAAGACCCTCTCTAGGGAGTTCATGAAAAAGAGTGCAAGCCGGGTGGATGATCAGCTTGGCCTTATAGAAAACCATCGAAGGGCAGGGTATCTTTTGAAATGAATATGGGGGTGGAGTTGAGAGTCCGTGATCCTGGAGAAGCCTGGTATTCTGACTCCCAGAGGTCCTGCTTCTTGTGCCTGCTGAGAAGTCCTGTTTCTCTGGCCTCATGTCCTGGTTGAGATTGGGTCTCACTGGGATAGCATGACCTGGCCACAGATGGCTCATTAGAACTGTGTTGAGCCATCAGTCTCTCAGGAGCACTACCTGTCATTCTAAAAAAAAAAAAAAAAAAAAAAAAAAACCCCGCATACTCTTTGTCTTCTTTTTGTCTTTATTTTCCCTTTTAGAGACTCCCTAGTCTCTGAGGGCCTGCTGAAAGCAGCAGATAGAACATTTGAGGCAGACACCTGAGTTTATATCCCAGGCTAGCTGTATGCCTTGAGCAATGCACTTAAGCTCTCTGAGCCTATTTGTTCTTCTGCAAAGTGGGGGCAATAGACTCCCCCTCATGGCATTATTATACAAATTGAATAAGAGATGGAATATCATTCATTTATTCAGTAAATATTTCCTGAGCACCTCCTATGTGTTGGTCACCCTCCTAGATGTTAGGAATACATCAGTGAACAAAACAGATCAGCACCTGTTGCATTCTAGTGCCCTGTTTTAAATTGGAATGTGTGTATTTTAACTGAAATCTGAGGGAAGGTATTGCTACATCCTCATAGTCCATTCCTCTTCTCTGGACAGAATACCTCTACTCGCTATCCAGATGTGGCTATATATGAAGAGGGGAAAAGAGAGGGAGACAAATATGAACATTTAAGGAGAACCACTTCTCCTAAATTACACCTTTTAGTTCTCACCAATGGTGTAGGTATCGCTGTCCCTACTTTCCACATAAGTAGATGAAAGCCCTAGAAGCTTGCGGAACTTGCCCAAGGTTTCACAGCCCATGAGTAGCAAAACCAGGATTTGAACCACAGTCTTCTGACTCTAAAGACCTGCCTTTGGGTTCCATCAAGCTGCTGCATATAGCACATTCACTTTGTCACCCATCTCAGTATTAATAACTCTGGGACCCCAAGCCAGAGAGCAATTCTGTAATGGATTTGTGTTGGGTGGGGTGAGGAGTGGCAAATGGGGGGTCAGCATGCAGGTGCTTGTGTTTGTGTCTGCTGAGTCTGTGTATGTGTGTGGGGTTTCAACGACAGGGATCTCAGTAGGGAATTGGTATTTGGGCTGCTAAATAACCACAATTTGTATTAAGCAGAAACATAGTCATTATGCACCACGTGCGGGCTGCTGCTGCTCACTCCCGTTAGGGAAGAGCGCAGCTGATGGCACTTTGGCCTGTGGTCTTGTGAAAAGCTTCCACCAGGGGTCCTGAGATGGCCTTCTGGGGACAGGATATTGGGAGGAGGTGGTAGGGGAGTAAGAAGAGCAGGGCGCTAGGGCATATGGACCTCAATTTCAGGAGACGTGCTCCTTGCCTCCTACCTCTATGGGCCTCTCATCAGTAAGGCCATTCTGGTTCTCATTAACGCAAGTAAATACGCATCCCAGCACTGGGCAGGGGACACGTGTTGATATTTAATTATATAGTGTGCACTGAGCATATTATGGCTCCTCCAGGGAATGGCAGCTGCAGACAATGAGGTGCAATGGAGTACATTCAAAACTACTTAGTTAATTAATGCATTAGCGGCCCACTTTGCTGTGAGGGGGGTGTGGGAGAGAGGGCAGAGATTTTCCTGGTGTTCTTTTCTCCCTTCCTGTTCCTCTCTTCCTCTCAGCCTTTTCTTCCAGAAAATATAAAATCGCCATAGTCAGGGGAGTCCTCATTAGGAGCTGTGGTCCAAGATTTACTGAGAGAATAAGGTTAAAATTCAGCACTGAGATAAGTGAAGCTTGGAAATCATACATGGATTTCCTTTGCCTAGTTGATGCTTATCCCCAGCAACCTAGAGAGGCTGGCAGTCAGCAAACTGACATTCCAACGTAGCCCCAAGCTCTGCTCTCTATTTTGGGAACTCCCTCTCTCATTCAGTAGCCCCAGGTGCAGACTCAGGTGCGGAGTTGCAGCAACACACAGAATTCCATTGTGCTGAGAGCTTCATGGTTTGGAGTGAGGAGGAAGGAGTGCTATGCCTAAGCCAGGTGAAGTGTGAGGAACCGAAACCAGAGGTTTAGAATCCATCTATTTACAAAGAGACCCTTCCTTCTAGGTTTCTTTCAATATGTGTTTCCCCTCTCCTCCCACTCCACATGGCACCTTTAATTCTTACATCAATGCATGAAGTTCTCATTCTGTGTTCTTTGCGGTTTTCATTGTTATAAACTTTGTACATTTGTTGATTTTCCTTTCCTCACCCTGGAACCCATGGACTTTATCTCTCATTCTTTTGAACTCAGAGGCATTTTCCAAACTGCTCCATGTGCATTTGTCATTAAGCCTCTTAGTTACCTGTATTGCTCCCTCTCAAAACAAGCTGCTAAGGTCAAAGACTAGATCATACTCAGCATTCTGTGCATAGCACCATACTTTGCACAGGAGGCATTCAAGCTGTATTTGAATGCCTTCCTTATTGGATCTTCAGGAAGTACCTGCAGGTCAATGATCATGTCTTTTTGTCTTTTGGGATCCCTGCTGCCAGCTCAGTGGGCTGAGCCTGCTGAGGGTTCCAGCAATGCAGACCAGTTGGCTGCCTTAGGTCCAAGCCAGCCTAACATCTGCTCTTAGGACAGTCACCTAAGCCAGAAATCTCTCGGAGAGAAGGTGTGTTGTAGCAAATCTGTGACTGGGAATGGAACTCCCATCACTAGTTGCTGATGTTATCGAGATTTTTTTCCCTTTTTCAAAATCTCACTATTGTGGTTGATTCCTTTCTGTGTTGTGTTTAATGTGAGAAACATAATCTGCCCTTATGATTTCTTTGTAAAGGTGGGGTGGTGGGGAAGGAGGGGTTCCCTTTTCAGAGTTCTCTCTCCTTGGACAATTAGAGATGAGGCCTACGCATGGGAAGTAACTCTCAGTTCATCGGTATGGAAGAAAGAGCCCTCAGCTGTAGCAGGAAGTCAAACCTTAGTGGGGACCTTTCTGAGCAGGAGGGAGGAGTACAGTAAGCACTGAATCAGCTTGCCAATGGGAGTTGTAGAACATTTGTTCTCTCTGATCAAAAAATGAGACCCAGATGTCCTGGCCCACGTGGGAGAGGATGAAGTCACCGGAGGCTTGAGGCCGCTCTCAGTCCTGGAACTCTGTAGTTCTGAGGTGAGGCAGGGACGCCACTGCTCAAGCTGCCTTCTGGTCCTGAGGGAGTGGAGACCAGGGACCCCAAGACCAGCTTAGGGTTGGACCAGCCCCAGACCACATAGGGGTAGCTGGGCTTGCGGGGTTTTGAGACAGATGAAGTTGAAAGAGGCTATTGACGAAAGCTGCCCCGTTGTTGTTTTCCTAATGGGAGGGTTAAGGCGAACAAAATCGTGGAGAGAATGGAGGATACAGGAAGAGCCCTAGAGAGGACATCAGAAAGCCCTTACTGAAGTCCACGCTGCCACTTCCTAGATGTGTGACTTTGGGCAAGTCTCATAAACTCTCAGAGCCTTGTTTCCCCAAATATAAAACCGGGGTAGTAATCCTCACCTCACAGGCATGCTGTGAGGGTGCAATGAGGTATTCTATGTAGAAACACTCAGACACAGTACAAACATTCTCTAAACACAGGGTACTATTATTTCCTCCCCTCTGAGACTTACTTCCTTTTCCTGGGTAAGAGAACATAAGCTATAAGATGAATGAGGGCTTGGGTGCACCCACCAGAGATCTGCTGGCATGCCAAGGATGCCCAAGCTCCAGGCTGAGAAGGAGGGAGGCCAGGTGACTGCCATGGTCCTCATTTGCTACATGGCTCCCCAGGCCTTAGAAAAGAGGCAACATTAATCCCTCCATCTCCACAGGCCTTTGCCAATCATTGCGGCAAATTCAAACAGGGGGCACAAGAGAAGCGGAGGGTCCAGCAGCTTTGGTTCCGTCCCTGACTTCCCGCCTCAGAGGCCTCTCATCACTGTAATTCCCCTGGCAAGGCCCCCACCTAAGCCTCTTTGCTAACAGAGTATTTTTAACCTGCCACCTCCTTGCAGCTTTGCCGATCTGCAGACAAGGGTCCCGGCGAGATAAGAGAATCCGTTAGTGCCGCTAGAGTCAGGCAGCGCCTGCTAAGTACTTCCTCAGGAGCTCCCTCCTCTGCCCCCAGGGAGCCGCTGCCGGACTGACGCCCAGGGATCTGAAGGCGAGGAGGGCTGGGTTTGGCACCTGCATGAAGGGAGCTCCAGCTTCTTCACTCAGCCCAGCCTCTAAAACAGAGTTTGTTTTCTCTATCTTAGGTGTTTTCAAAGATGGTCCCTGCCCTGGCTTTTTAAGGAGCCAAATTATTCCACTTCTAAGGGTATCAGATACTTTCATCTTCCCTTTTCCCTCCAAATTCTGTGGGGATTTGGAAAGAAAGTATTTCTTAGAAGGTGTCTGGAACTGGCCCTCAATGGAAGACACCACCAAAAAGCAACTGGTACTAAACCTCCCTATGAGAGGGAAGGGAAGGAAGGCTCACCTCTGCTCTTACCTTTTGCATTAGGGCATGCGGAGCAAAGAACTGCAGAGTCCTGAACAGGGTTCAGGGAGTAGGGGCAGAGCTCTTGTTTCTCCTCTTCCGCCTCCTCAGGTAGATGTTGGTGGTGAATGGAGCAGAAGAGGGTTTTGGGGAACAAAAAAGAGGCAGAGGTGGATTGGGCTGGGAGGGGCTTGCCCAGGAAGGGGAATCACAGAAGTCTTCCCCTGTAGCCTGCAGGGCTAAAGGTGTCCCCTAACCAAATGCTCTCTAATGGGGCACACACATGCCAGCCCCTTCCTGCTAAGGTCAATTTCCATGCTAAATTGTTCATTATTGCCATGCGGCAACACTGTATGGAAGCGTCAGAACCCACAAGTGTGGGCAGAGTGGACAGGTGAACACATGAATACACCTGCCTTCCTGTGCTCCATGGGGGGAAGCGGCCCCTTTGTGGGGGTGGTGATGAGAAGCCCCCCACATGCTGACATCCAAGAGTGGGAGAAGGGCATCTGGCCCAGAGGCAGAGATCATCAATTCATTTAGCAAGAATTTATGGAGCATCGACTTGCCAGGCACTGTGTTCAGCACTGGGGACACCAAACTCAACAAAACAAAGGATGGTTGGGAGAAAGGACACCAGCAAGTTGTTGCACAAATAACTGCTTATTACATGGCTGGCCAGTGTTGTAGAGATGTCCAAAGTTCAATAAGCAGCATGGGAACCTGTAACTAGGGAACCAGAACTACTGGGAGAAAAGGGATCAGGAAAAGCTTCCTGGGGAAGCAATATTTAAGCTGAATTGTAAATGCTTTGTCAGCCTCTCTGTCTCATCCCTAATATGCACAGTTTAGAGCTCCCTACCCCATGCCCCTTGGGGCCACCCATCCACATTTCCCACCAGCCATCCCAGGCAAAGGTGAGCTCTCTAACTCCCATACTGCTCCCTCTCTCTCATTTCCCACATTGAGTTTGCTGCCAAATCTTGTCTGTTCATCTTTTCCCTCACCTGCCCTCCTTTCCACCTCCCTCCCCCAGCCCAGGCTGAGACTTTTATTATCTATTCTTGAACTTGTGCTGGCTCCTGCCCTGCCTTCTCTAAGTTAGCTTTCACATTTTTTATATCATTTAATGGCTCTCCGCAGCTTGTAGGTAGGGTATAGCTGAGTCTCTTGAGCAAGGTCTTGGCATCCCTCCACCAGAAACAGTTTATCCCTCCCTACATCCCTTCCCCATGCCACTTCTGCCACACTCACACCCTGTTCTTCCAGCTTTGCCAATCCCTCCCTCTTCCCTAAGTGCCCCTGTGCCTTGGCTCAAGGGTCAGTCCATGCCTATGTCTTGACTCAAGCTGTCCCTGCCATGCCTCCCTCTCTCTGCCTGATGAAGTGCCCTGTCCTTTCAGGTTTAAGTTATATCACACCTCCTCAGTGAAGCCTTCCTGATTTGCCCCTCTATAATCCCACATTTCTTATCATTGGTTACAGCACTTAGCAGAGTCAGCCTTGTATGTGAGTTGCTTGTATTTCTTTGTTAGAGGCAGTGTGCACAGTGGTGAATGTCACAGACTTTGGAGTGGGATTATTTGAGCTCAAAACCTGGCTCTGTTCTTACTAGGAGTATGACTTTGGGCAAGCTACTTAACCTCTCAATGCCTTACTTTCTTCATCAGGCATACAGAGATAATAACAGGACCTACCTCATAGAGCTATTGTAGGCATTTAATGTCTTCATACAGGTAAAGCACACGGAACAGTACCTGTTTGTTATTATGTTTATTTCATAGTTTATCTGCCTTCCTTGCCTGATTGTGAACTCCTGGAGATCAAGAAGCATGCAGGATTCATCTTTGTACTCCCCTAAAAAGATTCTGCTTCTCCCCATAGTCTCCTCAAAGAAAGAAGCACAAAGGGCCAAAGCTAGAAAGGACCTCAGGGCTCACCTTGAGTAAATGCTAATTTTATATATCAGTCAACTGAGGCCCAATAAACTGAAGGACTTGCCCAAATCACACAGCTAGAAACAGCTCTGGAAACCTAGCAGTCAGGAATGTAATACCCAGGTCTAGCTCACATCTCTCCTGCTCCAATACAAATGCTATTTCTACCTCCTCTTTGGAGAAGAACAGATGGTCAGTGTCATCTCCAGTCTTCCCTTGGCATATCACTGAGTCACATTTTCCAATCACCCTCAGCCTTCTGCCCTTCCTGCTAATGGATGTCAGCTGTCCTGAGCCCTTTGGCCTTTCCTAATGAGGCAGGTTTTTCTACCTTCCCATCAGGGTGCTGTGCTTCTACACAGGGTGCTGCGTGTTCTTTAAATAGAGAGCTCTAAGGAGCTACAAGCAGGATTTACGCTTGGCCTCAATGGAGACTCCAGGGCGAAGAAGGGGAGAGATCAAGTTGAGGCACACACAGGCTGGCTCCTGCTCCCCCTCTCCTCCCAGCACCTACCCTGCCAGGCACCCAGGCCACATTCAGACTCCTCCTTTTACTGTGGATTCAATACAATCTGGAAAATGCATTAAACATGACACAGAGTAGTTGACGCGTAATTAATAAAGTACAGATTTTGGCTGGAAGCCTCAACTTAAAATAGCACCATGACTGTGGAGAAAAAGGGAGGGCAGGGGAGAGAGGCTGGAGATGAATGTGATGAGAACCAAGACCGTTATCTCTGAGAGTAACAGGACCACTTCTCCCTCCAAAGCACCCTGAAATTAAGGAGGAGGAAGATAACAATTTTTTTATTATTATTAATGGGATGAAGCTGAGGCTCAGAGAGGCTAAATGTCCTGCCCAAGGACACTCGTGCACCATAGGACAGAGCCTTGGCCACTCGTCCGTGCCCTCAGGTGGTCAGAGTCCACCATTTGCGTATTAGTAATCTACTCTCTCGTGAAGTTGCACATTTCAGGACTGTTTTTAATTTGAGAGATGTTTTAATGGCATTTTGAGACAGACTGTTCCCTAGCTGATTCTCCAGAGAGGCTGGAGGGAGCTTCATATTTTCTTTGAAGAAGCAAAAAATAAAATAAAGCCTTTTCTTCTGCAAGCACATTCAGAGAGCCCTTTGCTGCAGTTCACCAGCCTTCTGGTGTGAGGGGAGAGGTGAGAAGGGGATTGAGGAAGGAGAGGGAGAGGGTAGAAAAGGCTTCTGTGGTTCATTCAAATGCCTGGGCCTCAGGGGCATTCTCTATTGAAGCTGGATCCCTGCTGCTTTCTGCCAGAGATTCCAGACTGGTTTTCTGAAGCAAAATGTAAATTTCAGCCCAACTAATCAACCCTGATAAGGCAACATCACCTCCAGCCTGCCAGTCATTAACAAAGGATCCAAGGCAGACCTGGGCGACTAGGAGCAGCAGCTCTGGGTGGAGGAGGCTGAGATGGAATATTCTGAAAACTCCAGAAGCAAATCACCAGAAAGCAGAATTTTGATAACAAAGGGGAAACTGAGGCAGGAAATCCTGATGTGATTCCCTCATGCCACTTGCAGTAATTCCTTCCTGTCTCTACAAGGTAGAAATGAACTTGATCTTTTTAAAATAGCAGTGGAGAGATGGGGACGTGTAAAAGTCTATTATAGTACAAGGCCCAGTGGGCCCTCTCTGAGAATAATTAATCTATGAATTATGTGACATAGGAAAACAGCACTGGTTTCTGTGGCATGATCTGTGTTGCATTTGTTTCTGTGCCCCAGAGCATGAATGCTATCCTTAGCACATAGCAGGTCCTCAAAAATGTTTATGGCAAGATTCAGGAGACCAAAACCAAATCTGTGCTCTAAACCTCTCAGAGCCTTGGTATATCTGTCTGCAGATTGGGGATAAAGAAGGCTTGTCTTTCTTCCAGCCTGTTGGGCAGATTGAATGAGATGACGTTCCTGTGTGGAAGCCACGCAACAATGAGATGCTGTTGAGTATCAGATATCTGGCTGCCGTGTTCTACCTAGTTCTGTGTTCCTCCCTCCCATGCCTGGGTCAGGGCCAGCTAGACTGATCTGGCAATCAGAGGGACACAAGGAGTTTCTCCTCCACCCCGTGGCTCTCCTTACAAGCACACTGTTCTCAAATACCCAGAACTTGAACCCAGAACCTTATACAGCTACTCTTCCCAGGGGGAAATAGTTCAGAGCTCCAGAGCCAGAGGCCCAGCTGTCAACTAAATTCCCCGCAATAACCCTTTCTACTTCTGGGCGGGGGGGGTTGTACTAATGAAGGGAAGAAGGGACAGAGAAAAAACATGCTATCTATCTCTGGTAGCAGAAGGAGTGAGGGAGGCTCTGGTGGGAGAGACGGGTTGGGTTTCACTGGCATTCCATAGCAGGCCTTCCGAGTGCAGCTGAATCAGAGCTGAGGGAGCTGCCGAGACCAGAGGAGCCTTACAGTCGACTGTGGGCAAACCTGATAGCCCATCTGGAATCCATCCATGGCCTGGCTCCCTCCCCCATGTCCTGAGCTCACTGCAGAAGCCATGGTGGAGGAGCAGGGCCAGGCACCTCAACCAGCAGGCTGTAAAATCCCCCAAGTGCCAGCCCACCAGCCCCTGCTGTCCCTCCCTGGCTCTGGAAGCACAGGTTCACCCTCCCACTCACCAGCCCCTGGCTTCAGTTCCTGCCCCTTCCTCTCTGAGAACCAGAGTGAATAATCTTACGGCTTTGAGTAGTACAGAGATGGCGAAGCAGCATCAGAGATCCGGCCCTCCTGAGGTTATTTAGAGGGCCTGAGAATGCCAGCTCCAGTCCATGTCAGCAAGAATTGCAAGTGGGCGTCACGGTAGCACCAGACTTTCAGATCTTCACAGAGGAGTTGACCAGCCCTTGGCTGTCAGAGTCCTAAATCCCCTTGGATGGCTGGTGTCCCCAGTCTCCTCTGACTCCAACATCCTAAATGCCCAGACTCTCAAGACAGAAAGAGCACGAGCTGGAGGACGTGGGATTGTGCAAAGAGCAGGGGCAGCCGTCTTCCTGGAGCCTGGTACTTTAGCATAGGCTCCCCAGCTGTTTGCTTGGTGATTTTGAGGGAGTTGTGTGCTTTCACCAGGACTCAGTTCCTCTTCTATGGGAAGGTACTTCCCCCCACAGGATGATCATGAAGATCAAAAAAGAAAAATTAGGTGATAGAAACAAACAAAATGTCATTACCTTCAGCATACCCTCAGCCTAGCAGATGATAATGCAGTGCCTGTTAGATGGACAAAGGACAACATTGGCTGGGAGAATCAATGCCCAGCTCTGAGGAGCCCTCCCCAGAGCCTCTAGGGAAGGGGTTTCCCCATTTTCCTGGCATTTCTCCCACTCCCTAGGTTGATTGGAGTCATGGTGGTTTTGTTGTCACCTGCCATATTTCAGTAACCTTTGACCATCGCCCAGCTAGCCTGTGGGGGTAGATGCCTATGCGGCTCTCCCTCCCTCTCCCATGCAGAGAAGCACAGTCCTCCCTGGGAGCAGGAAGGAATGTGCTTCCTGGGAATACTCCTTGCCCCATGTGCTGGAGATAGAGCCCACTGCAGGGCTCCACCACAGGGAGGATCTTGAAAGCCAAGAAAAGCGACCCATTTGTTGGAGAACCCGACAGGGTCAGAGGCAGCTCAGACCACCTGTAGGGAATCAGGCCCTTTTGCCCACCACAAATCTCTTTTAACAACAAACTTTGAGAACAGCCTGTTTTCCCAGCGCAGCTTCCTGCATAGTGTTTGCCTAATCTTTCTGTCCAAAATCCCTCTCCAAACAGGAGGTTTCCTGCCCAGCACTGGCAATCAGAGAGCTAATTATGTGGGATTAGAGATGGAGTTGGGGGGTGTTCCTTTTAATTACAGGAAAAAATTAGTCCAACTGATGTCGGCAAGGCCACTGGGATTAGAATGAAAGTCCAGGTTTGGGCACAGGTCAGTTTGGGAGGTGGTAGAGCCCCCATGCTCTGGGGCTGGTGTCTTCTGCCCTTAACTGCCTCTGGAGTCTGGGGCAGACAGGGGGAAATGCAGGTCTCTGAGGAGCTTCTCTTTTGGGAATCTTGGAGAGGTCATGTGTATGTATGAGAGAGGAGACAGACACAGGGAGAAAGAAGTAGAGACAGCACAGAGAAAGAAACAATGTATATGGAGAGATCTGGGGATTGATGGGAGAGAGACAAGGAAGGGAAGGAGAAAGAGAGACGCAGGTGGGTGTTAAGAGGAGATTTTGAGTAAAAACAGACAGAGGGACACAGGTTTAGAGACCACCATTTCTCTCCCCACACTCACTGTGGACTAGTATTTATGTGACTGTCTCTTTCAACGGGGAAGAAGAGAAAGGCATCAGAAGCTGTACCTAGGCTTCTGTCCTCCCTCCTTCCTACCTTCCTTCTTTCCCACTTCCCACTCTCTTTCCCCTGGTGTCCAGCACACTGGCCTGGTTTCACAGCACACGGTGCCAGTGAGGAATGCTTTGGCCTGGCTGGGGACAAGGATGGTGTGGAAAGCTTGGACTCCGCTGGGCTCCTAGTGATCTTGAGTCTCCTCTGTGGCCTGAAGATGGGGCTTTCTGCCAAACAGTCTTGCCTTCTCTCCTATGAGAAGAATCTCTTGGCCAGAAAAGCATTCATTCATTAATTTATTCATTCATTCTTCCATTTTACAAATAATTACAGAGCTTTATTATGGGCCAGACCCATAGGAGTTTCTCCTCCACCCCCGTGGCTCTCCTTACAAGCACACTGTTCTCAAATACCCAGAACTTGAACCCGGAACCTTACACAGCTACTCTTCCCAGGAGTCTATGAATTTTTATTAGTGCAGTGGAATACAAATCAACCACTGGCTTTCCATTTTGAGTGGTATCTCCCCACCTCACCCCTGTCATCCAGCCCCTCACTTACAACATCCTGAGAGTAGCCCAGACCCTCACTCAGAAACATCCACTGGCCAACTCTTCCTTAAAGAGGCAAATGATATAAGCACAGAGTAAAAAGACCTGAGAATATTTTGAGGCAATGTACAACAGGTACAGATTCATAGGGTACAAAGAAAAGACCTGAGCATAATTATTTGTGTGTATTCATATCTCACTTCTTTCCAAAGAAGGAATTAAGATGACTTACAATAAAAGATTTGGCCAACATGGAATGATAACTGTCTTAGAACTAGAAAAGCCAAGCCATAAAGGGAGTAGAAACACATATGTTACCAAGAAGGTCAACATAGGCACCAGGATCCAGCATGAGATTTGGCCTGAGTGTCCCAGCAGCCAAGTCATAAAGGGAAATGAAATGAGCAAGAAATCTTTACACTTTGAGAGAAGGCAGTGTCCCTACTTTTCAGGACATTTCCCAGACATTACATTCTGTAAATTATTTATCATGTGAGACCTGTACAGACACCAGGACAAGAGTTTGACATCCAAATCAGATGCTTCTTTTATATGGCAATTTCTTGTATTAGCTCCTGACAAAGTGCCAAGGCTGTGACTTCCATGCAACAAGCAGCATTCGATGTGTTATTCTTATGGAGTAACAAATGCTGAAAAATAAGTATATGAGGCTGTGAGGGAAAAGGAAGCTTGCTGGTTTGGCTTTTGTGGTCCAAGTTTACGGCTTTCTGGAGCTCTCACTTGATTCAAGTATAGAATGCAATTTTTAAGCACCCTGTCATGCTTGGCACTCTGCTAAAAGTTGAATAAAATGAACTATATAGATTCAACTTCTACATCTGGGAATTTATAATTTATGTTGGCACTTAGATGAGGCTCAGACAGCAGAATAAGAGCATTAAAATGACAGACAGTAAGATGTTAACATTATACACAAGACAAAGGTGAGTGTATTTTAGGGAAGTAAATGGATTAATAAAAGATTTTATAATCAAACTGACTCGTTTGCATGCCTTTCTACTACTGGCTGGCTGTGTGGCCTAAGGCAGTCACTTAACCTCTCTGAGCCTCAGTTTCTTCATCAGTGAAATGGGTTTTGGGTTTCATCAGTGAAATGGGTTTTGTAAATGATTTGCATGTAAATCATTTACATAAGATGCCTGGCGTCATGTCCAATTCGTAGCATGTGCTCAATAGTATAGCTATGCTCACATTCTAGGATTGTTAAATAGGGATGAGTTCCTAGT
Source organism: Homo sapiens (assembly GCF_000001405.40). Lineage (NCBI taxonomy): Eukaryota > Metazoa > Chordata > Mammalia > Primates > Hominidae > Homo > Homo sapiens. The sequence goes on along the minus strand of NC_000001.11, from coordinate 208,156,327 downwards.
GGGGTGAGAGGAGCAAGAGTCTTCCGATCCACTCCAGGGAAGCTGAAGACTCATTACTTCTTTCGATGAATGCCCCCAAAGCCGTTCGCTTCCTAATAGTCAGGATGTCTAAAGCTGAACTGGAAATATTCCAACATAGGTCATCTCAGGAACCCGAGAAACCTCTCCCTTTGATCTGTTTATATCACAACTTGACTGGGAAATCCATAACCCTCCTTTCTTTCACCCTGCTTTCCCCACTTAGGAAATGCCCAGGACTTGGATTTTGCTGCCCCAGGGTCATTATTTAGGCCATCCTCCCTCACCAGCCACATAGGCTCTCCTTTCCTTAAGCCTCAGGTACTCCTTCACTGCGCTTCATGGGGAGGTCCTGGTGTCAGGCAGAATGAAGGGCATTAACTCCCACATTTCCTGGAGGGATCCCTTTGTCCAGATTGGTTGTCAGCCAGACCCAGGCAGCCTCCAGGCTATAGCAAGAGGGGGTGAAGATGGGAAGCCATGTGATGCTCCCCTGCACACCCCACCACACCCCTGTGACAGCTGGAGCCCAGCATCCCATGAGCCAGAGCTCAGCATCCCATGAGCCAGAGCTGGGCAGGGAGGGTGGGACAAGTCCAGTGCAGCCGGGTGTTGGGCCAGGAGTCAGGTAGGCCCCAGGCGGGTCCTCCAGGCACATCCCCTTGGTCCTGCCCTCCCCATCCTCACCTCCGCTTCTTTGCAGTTTCTCTGGTACTTTCCAACTTACTGCCAAATTGTCAAAAGCTATGAGAGGCAAAGTGCTGTTCAGTTAATGACTCCAGTCCCTGGAGAGGTGGAGCACTCTTTTAAGAGAAAAAAATCCTAGAAGAGTGGGGGTGTGGGAGGGGCAGAATGAGGGATGCTTTAGTACTTTACACAAAAGCCAGGCTATAGCTCCTTTCAGCACTTTTTAAGGAGCATATTAGCAGTGGGTAGGTTTGCCCCGAGCTGCCTTCTCTCTGTGGGTGAAGGACTGGAGCCTCCCCCTTGCTTTTCTCTATTTCACAAAGTGAAAAGGGTCTGAGACAGAAGGCTGCCATCCCTTCGGCCCAGTGACTGCGGCCCTCTGTGTCCCCAGCACCGGTCCTGTGGAGACCCTAGTCAAACGACTCCTCCTTGCTCTGAGAGAGGCTGCCTTCAAAAGCAGGCTGGAACGGCCACTATGCAAGGGGTTCGCGCTCCATGCACCTGCTAACCCTCTGCTGCCTCCCGCTCCTCCTCCCCGCAGTCCTGCTCCCTTGGAAAGGACAGAGGAGGAGGTACTAATTTCCCCCATGTCCCCCTGAAGAATTTCCTCCCAGCCCAATTTTCCTCCTCAGTCTGGTCCCACCCAAGTCTATGAATCAGAGATAAATCAATCCAAAATCCCTCTTTCATGCTTTCCTTTCCAGTTTCCCAAATGCTTTCACATTCCTTATCTCATTTGTTCCCGCCGCTGCCTTGTCATGCTGGCATGTTGTGTTACCAGTTTTGTAGATGAGGAAAGTGAGAATTAACTCCCTTGGCTGAGTGCCCCTGCGTGGCCTCCACCCCAGTGAGCTAGACATCAGCCTTCGCTGGACAATCAATGTCTATTGGAAGGGAAGATGGAAATGCAGAGCTTGGAAGATCTAGAAAGGAAATCAAAAAAAATCTATGAAGAGACTGCCCAAGGCGAGACTTGTACAATCTCTCACTTCCATCGTCTCTTGCTGTGATCTGACTTGGAGAGGGGAGAATTTTTTTAAAGTTATTTTTGTTTTGAGTTGGCCCTAGTGTAGCTCCCTTGGTCTTAGTCCTTGGTCATCCATGCACATCCTCTGCAGCCACTGCCACTTTTTGGGTGCGATGATGTGGCTGTCCAGGCCCAACAGCACATGAATCCTAGGTAGTGCCAACTTCTCAGGGGCCAGGAGGACTTGGGGAGTCCTAAGGAGAAGAATAGAGGCTGCACTTTGCCTACCGTTGAGCCCACTGGATATTCTGAGAATGCTCAGAGAAAAGGCAGGACAAAGTTCCTTCCTCACAGGGCCAAGCCCTGCTTCTCTTCCTCCCACTCTGCGGTGAGATCCGGGCACCTGCTGTACTGTACCCAGCACCAGCAGAGTCTTCACGCTGGCACTCTGCCCAGCAGCTGTGGGGCGTTAGCACAAAAAGGGGGTGGGCATTGAGGACAAGCAGGTGTCCAGCCAAAGAGAACAAGGTGACCGGGGAGGGTCTTGGAGCAGTGATGGCAGGGAGCAAAGAGAGTCCATGGAAGAACAAGCAGATCGAGACAATCCTTACTCACCACCCCACCCCCACCCCACCTTGATTAGAATGATCTGGCCCCAGAAGAATAGCAATGAATTAATTAGGGGCCTGTTTTCATGAAGCAGCTCATTATTAAAGCCCCTCTCCTGGGAGGGGAGATGGGAAAAGGTGTGAAGATGACAGCTATTCAAACAGAATCTTTTAAAAGAGGTAGACCCTCCCCCAGCTGTCTGTTCTGCCCTTGGGCTCTGCCAAGCAGTCAGGCAGACCAGAGCACACAGGGTACCCCTGGGCTGGCTGCCGGGGACTGCAAGGGATGGAGGCTTTCTGGCTTGACTTCCCTTCCCTCCCTTCTCCTCTTACCCTGTTCCTCAGACCCCAACTCTGACCTCATCTTCGTAACCTCAATTCTTGCTTTCCACCTGTCTGAGCCAGCAGGCTTTCCGCTTAGTGGTCCTGGAGTCCTTTTCATAGCAGTACCTTGAGTGTTTATACTACTTTCCTCCTAAGAGCTCTCACCAGCCCACTGGGGAGCCAGAAAAGATCATTTCGACAGAAACAAATGTGGATAGGTGTTTACACGCCAGGTTCCAGAAGATTCCGGGTGGTTGGGATGGCATGGAACAAGATTCCCTCTTTCTCTACTCATTTTTCTCTAGTGATGGAAAAACAGAGGCCTAGAGAAATGAAGACCCAAGAGAGTTCAGATCCTGGCTCTTTTGCCTACCAGCTTTGTGACCTTGGGGAAGTTACCTCACCCTACTATGCCTCCGTTTCCTCATCTCAGCCTTAGGGATAATAGTAGCGCCTACCCCATTAGGTTGTTGTGAGGATTAAATGAGAAAATGTGCATAAAGCCTTTAGCATGACATCAAACAATAATAGGAGTTCAGTCAATGTGAGCCATGAGTAAAGTTCTACTCCTGCCCAGTCTCAGCAACAGGGATTCCTTCATGCCATCAGCCTGTGTTACTGAGAGCCTACTGTGTGCAGGGCAGTACCAAGTGTAGTAAGGCATACGAAGCTGTACAAAGCATGGTTTCTTCTCCAGGAGCCTGAATATCTTAGGAAAGATGACTGCATATGTTTACAAGTAACTGTGCCAAGAGACATTCTAGGTGCTATGGGAGTTCCAAGGAAAGATTGGTGCAGGCTTCGTGGAGTAGGTAGCATTTGGATAAGGCCTTGAAGGATGGTTAGGATCTAGGAGGTAGAATAAATTGTCAAGCAAAGGCGTGAAGACGAAAAAGCTGGGGATGCAATTGGAAAATGGTGAGAAGGCCATGTTAGCTAGACTCCTGAATGACAAACTGAGGAGTATGAACTCTTCTAAATTATTAAAGGGGACAATTGAAGGTGGTGTGTGTGTGTGTGTGTGTGTGTGTGTGTGTGTGCGTGTGTGTGTGTGTATGTGTATGCATGAATACATGCCATGATTTACTTTTTTCATTATTCCAAAAGTAGTGTATGTTCATCATAAAAAAATTAGGAGACTGAGTTAAGCAAGAGAAAGAAAATTACCAACACCTGAAATTTAAGGATTTTGCATACAGAAAAGGCAGGATCGAACAAGTGTTTTAAGAAGATTAATCTGGCAGTGTTTGGTAGAATAGATTAGAACAAGAATATGCTGGAGGCAGGGAGATTTCTCAGGTTATTGCAGTAGCCCAGATAAGAGGCAATAAAGACTCAGCCCCAGCGCACTAGCAATGGGAAGAGAGATTCGATGGCATGGTTGTAGGCTCCATTTCTCTCGGTTACCATGGCTTTTCTGCACCATGGTGGGCACATGCCACGTGTGTGTGTGTTTTTAATGACTTCTTTTAAAATCTCTGGGAGTCTCCTGCATTTAGGCACAAGTCCAGTGTCAGATAATGGTGCTTAGCGCTCTCGACCTCCCTTCCCATCCCTACAGCTGGAAATGCCATCCTCAGTGTTAATGAAAGCAAAGATTACTGTTCCAGATTATAAAATGCAGGGCAATCTCAGGCCATAGAAAAGAAAAGAATGAATTAATTAAAGAGAGTAATAACCCTCTTAAACACCCCATCCTTTGCTCCTTTCTCCAGACTGCAGGTGGCCTTCTTTGTCACAGTGGAGGAGACAGCTATATGATCTATTTTGTTCCCCAGGACTTATCTCCAGAGGCACCCAGTGCTTTTTAAATGTAGTTTTTAGTCCTAATGTAGGCATTGTCCTCCTGTTTAACTTAGAGAAAGCGTAGGCTCTGGAGGGAGGCAGAATAAAAGAGTTCAGGCTTTGGAATCAGACAGATTCAGCTTCGAGTTTCACTCTGCCACTTTCTAGCTGTGTGATCCTGCAATAGACACTTAACATGTCTTTTTCTATAAAATGAGAATGCCTACCTCAGAGTTTTGAAGAGTATTCATGTTTATATCCCTGAATTTTTGCACACGGGTTGACATAGAATAGATGCTCAATAAATGTGTTGAACTAAACTTATAAAGAGAGAGAAGCTATTCGAAAGCACCATGTATATCCAGTCCCAGGAAGTGCTAGTTTCCTTGTCCTGCCCCCTTTTGAGGAGTGAGACAGGCATTTCCAAGGTAGTTAACCTGTCGATATGCCTAATTCCATCAGTTCTCACCACACCCTATTCCAGAGCTTGGTGAGAAAGGCTGCCCTGCACTCCCCACAGACCTGAAAGAGTGGCTCTAAATCATTCCAGTTCAAAAAGCCTAAGAGGTTCAATTCTATCCTGAAACAACCAGGGCATCTCCAGGAAAGGAACCTGTGTGCAGTGCCTTGAATGGAGATTCCGAGTGCCCACACTACTAGAACTTGGGGTAAACAAAGGTTCAGATTTGGCAGAAGTTCCTCGTTATTCTGTATTAATTCCTCCTACCACCCCTCCAGCTACACACCCCCAACTCTGTGTGCTCCATGTGAATTATTGCTTTGCTTCTGCATGATTTGATTTCATCTGAGGCTGCTTAATGCTTCGGCTGTCTCCACTGTGTTTATCTTATTGTTTCCCAGAACAATCAAATGCTTCCTCCGCCCCTGGCAGCTTCGTCTTGTTCCCTCAGCCTCCTGACCTGCCCAAGCCTAAAGCTGGAGCAGTGTTTAAAGGTGGGGTTGGACTAAGGCCTGAGCCCCGTGTTCCTGAATCACCCAGTGTAATTCACCTCTCATAAGCTCTTGTCCTGGCCCTTGGAGTTCAAAATTCTCCAAGAGTAGAACCCAGAGGTCTGGATTCTTTTTGCTTCTAGCTCTTTGTGTCATTCTCTCATGAGTAGCAAAGGGAGAGGCCCCAGAGATGGGGTGCTTGGTGCCTTTGTGAGTGTAGTTTGTCATTAACTGTAGGAAGGCATGGAGCAGGGGCCACTCCTCTTAGTTCTACGAGCAGCATAGACCAGTGATGGCTTGGCCATCCTCATCCACCCTTGTCTGATGAGGGAGCAGAGACGCCACAATTTAGAAACAGAAAACTGGTCTCCGGAGATCCTCACCAGCCAATCTCCCCACCCTAACCCTTGAACGCTGACCTTACTCATAGTAAATGCTCAATAAATAGTCACTACAGCTACTATCCTTACTAGCCAGGCTATTAATTCTCATACTGTCCCAAGATGCAAAAGTCCAGAGAACAAGTGAGTCCTCTGGGGACTCCTCCCTACATTCCAGGAGAAAGATCTCCATGGCCTGGCCCCCTGAAATCCAGGACTCTCTAGCCCCATGCACCCCGCTGTTAGCTCCACCCACCCCTAGTTGAATATCTAGGGCAGACTCTTAACATGGACAGAAATAGAAATAATTGTACATGGAAATGTCAATCTCCAGTGTTAACCGAAGATTGACCAACAACTCATTGGGGACCAGTGCTGGAAGCAGTGTGTGTGTGCATGTGCGTGTGTGTGTAAGGGTGGGAGCAGCAGAAATTCTCAAATCTTAGAACATCTTAACAACCTCCTTCCCCTTCATGGAAAAGAGAGACCCTTATCCCTGTTTCCCTTCTTCCTCTCCTCTGCTAGCTCAGTGCAAACCACGGGCCAAGTTTTCCAGGCTCCTGCGTCCCCGTCCAATTAGCCAAGCATTTAGGGCCAGGCTCCTAGCTGTCCTCCAGGGAGCCTCAGCCTGCTGAGTTTTGACTCTGCAAGCTTAGTTAATGTTTTCACAGCTCAGAGGGCGGGGCCAGCAATAGGCACCCTGGACTGCCACCGCTGCTGTTGCTGCTGTTGAATGCGTATGTGAGAGAGTGTGTGTGTATGTGTATGTGAGTGTGTGAATGTATGTACAGGATAGAGGGAGGAAGAGTCTCAGAGACAGAATTTACCAAAGACTTAAATCTATAAATAATTCGGGTCATGAAGCTCTACAAAAATAATCTTCAGCTTGAATCTTCTCTCGCAGCACCAAATGCTCAACTCCAGATACACTCTCATTAACTCACTCCCAGGGTCAGCCTCAGCAGCACCAGGCCCTCTCCACCTTTCACCTCCTTAAAGGTCTGAACACACACACACACACAATATACACACACCACACTTATACACACACCACACTTATACACACATACTGCATACACACACCACATACAGTGCCTATACACCATACTCATACAACAGACTTACACACACCATACATACATACACCACATACAACACATACCATACTCATACACACTCACAACACATATACACCACATTCATACACACAACAGACTCATACACACATACCACATATACACACACCACATCCATGTACATACAACACATACACACCACACTCATGCACACAACAGATTTACACACACCACACACATACATATCACACATCCAACACACATCATATACATACAACAGACTCATACACACACAACACATACACATCATACACATACACACAACAGACTCATACACACACCACATATGTACACACACCACACATGCCACACACATACACATTCACATGCCACATATATGTTAATAGACCACAAAAGCATAGGGTCCTTAGGTGAACAGAGGTAGAAGCGAGTGATAAAGGCCTCTTCTGAAGTGAATTTGAGGACGCCAGATGCTGAGACCTGCTGAGAGTGATGTTGAGCGCTCAATAACTCTGTGTCAAAAGTCTCATCCTCTCCAAATGCTTAGGTCTGAGAGACCAAGTTTCTAAGAAATCTGAGCTCAGGCATAACAAGAACAGCTTTATATTTATATTACACTGTACGTTTTCCAAAGAACCCACATTTCCACTCCTGCATTTTGGCTTAGGCCTCACCTCCTCCAGGAAGTACCCCCTCAGGGCCTCCTTCAGGCCAGGTGAGATGCTGCTCCGCCCCCCGTGCTGGTCTCCCTGGGACCCCCATGCAAACCTCTTCTCACAAGGGGTGACCCCTGTGTTCATGAAGACCAGACAAATTGTCCATTTCCCCATCACCGGGCTTCCTGAGGGGATCCTTATCCTTTATCACGTATCTGCAGCTCCTAACGCAGGCCTAGCTCATGGTAGGCACATAATAAATCAATATTGGACAGTACTGACATTCATAGCTAATAACTCATTTTACATTCACAATATCTTTTTTGAGCTAAGGACCATTATGTCCCACCATTATGGGACAGCTACAGAAACTATTACATAAACAAGTGAAATGACTTGCCTGAAGTCACACAGCCAATGAAAGAAAACCTTGGGATTAAATCCCAGCCCTGCAGACATGATCCAGTGCTTCCTTCTGTGTGGTGATGCCTTTCAAACCAATCTCTTTGCTACTAAGAAACCCAAGAAGAAGATTCCCAATTCTGCTCTTCCACAGCTCTTGCAGAAAACCTATATATACTATTACTGCTACTGCTACTACTACTAATAATAATGTGATATTAGAGTACCAAAGGGCTCCATAAATTAGGGCTAACTAGAGAAGAAATCGAAGCACAAGAAAAGGAGTTTAGAGGGGGCTGCAGGTAAGCGAGTTAATTGGATATGCTGATTGGAATTGGATATTCAAGAAAAGAAGCTGACATTAATTTCTGTCCAGATATAGCTGTGATTTAAAGGAAAGGTACTAATGGGGTTACTATTTCATTCTCATTTCAACTGGAGGACTGGACGCTAAATCTCTGCTGGATTTTACCTCACACGCTCCTGCCCCAAAGCCAGCCCTGATAAACTGAGTTTTATCCCCCAGGTAAGGCCCCCAAAAATTAGGTTCTGAGTTTACTGTTGTCCCCAGGAAATAGGAGATTGTCCCACTTTGAACTTGGGATCCTAAAGGGGGAAGAGTGGATGAGGGGGAAATTTGGACTTTTAGATGACCCATCTACTCTGCTCAGCAGCAAGGGCAGCTATGTTTGCCCATTATTAGCCCCCTCTTCAGAGAATTCAGGCTCTAGCTGGGAATCTCAGTTACGCCACTCTCCAGCTGTGTGATCTTGAGAGAGTTGCCTAACTCTCCTGTGCCTCTGAGTTTTTATCTATAAAATGGGATTTAAAATAGTATTTACCTCAGGAATGCTTGGAAGTGTTAAATGAGTTCATTTTTGTTAAGTACTGTGACAGCACGTAGCACTGTGGTAGCTATTATTAAATTCTTTAGGTGAACAGAACCTTTCAGAATCCAAGTCTATCCTACTGCCTTCAGGCAGGGCCACATTTAACCATGAAAAAAAGGGGTTATCCTGGGTTTAAAACCCTCCTGAGAAGGAGATTACAGTCTCCTATAGTCACCCATTCTATAGTAAAGTCTTTGGTTCTTACTAGAGCTAGACTAAATGTCCTCATGTCAGAGTTTAGGCTGGGCATAGTAGCTCACACCTGTAATCCTAGCACTTCGTGGGGCTGAGGTGGGAGGATCACTGGAGCTCAAGAGTTTGAGACCAGCCTGGGCAACATAATGAGACCCTGTCTCTAAAAAAAAAATTAAAAAGTAGCCAGTTGTGGTGGTGCACACCTGTAGTCCCAGCTACTTGGGTGGCTGAGTAGGAGGATCGCTTGATCTTGGGAGCTCAAGGCTGCAGTGAGCTGTGATTGCGCCACTGCACTTGGCCTGGGTGGCACAGAGTGAGACCCTGTCTTAAAATAAATAAGTAGTTTAGGCACATTTTGTCTTTTGCTGGTCTCAGTAAAGACTGTCACTCTCTTCTGTTCCTTGTGCTATCTGGCTGCTGAGCCTTGTCCAAGCAAAATAGCCCCAGTAGCTTCTGCATTTCCACCGAGGTCAAGCCTTCCCAGAAGAAGAAGATCCCAAATAGAAAAACACACTCCAGTGACTCATTCCACCTGTCCCTGTCACCTCCCTCCTTTGCCCCATCTCCAGTATCCTCCGCTGCCTGGTTGGATTTTGGGACCTGTGCATCTTGGTGTTGCACCGCATGCAAGGGCTGGTTCAGTTTATTGCTGTCACTTTGTGGGACACCATAGAATAAACTCAATTGGTTGGCTATTAAAATCCCACTCTTGTTTTGGGACTCCTTGACACTCCCCTCACCACTGGCCATCCTGTTTCTGGCAAAGACAGAGGACAGCTTTGAAACCCAAAATTTCCTATCCAAGACAGAGACATGAGAAAAATCACAGACTTAAACTACATTAGCAGCCTTCTTCCTAGTCACTTCCAAGGCATTCTCCCCCTCAGCCATGTGCTTTCCTCTGGACCCCACCAGCTGGGGCTGGTTTGAACCCCAGTTCCACCATGGATTGGAAGTTTTGAATGGAAGAGTTTAGACAAGATTAGCTCCAGTAATTTTTATAAGTCTATGATTCTCCTGTGATAGGCACCAAGCAGATTGCTTCTTCCAGTTATTCAGAGAGGAACACTAAGGCTCAGAGAGGTAACTCACCTAAAAGTGTGCCATTAGGCAGAAATCAAGCCCCAGGGAAGAACAGAGTCAGAATGGAAACCCAGGAGGCCTGAGGCCCAGACTTAAACCCTGCACTCATTGGTGTGTTGCCTTAAGGGAGCAAAGGGGATCAAGGGAGGGGAAAGACCTCTGCTGCCCAGGGGATCTGCTGCCTTCTCTCTGCCAGCCCCTGCCCCACCTTTTTCTCCTTGACCTGGCCTCCTGGCCCCTACTCTCCATCTTCTCTGACCCCCTATACGTATCTTGAAAGGTGACTCCATCTTGGGGCAGATAGCATGGATCGGGGGTGAGTGGGGGGAGTCACAGACTTCTTGGCCAATACCACATTTCTCTCCGGGATTTAGACTGAATGAAATAGGATAGCTTAGTTCGGGTTCAGTACCAACAACATTTTCTGTTCTGGTTTGGTTTTACCTCTGACATTTGAGACTTATGTAGGTTTGATTCTGGCTTCAACTGGCTTATTAAAAGATTGGGGTTGCAGACAGGGAAAAAGAAAAACCTTCAGATTAGGTCTCTGATTCAGTAAAATATTAATGGTTGGGATTGGTCCTGACCGAATGCAGCAGACAATGTGATGATAAGTTGTCTTTGGTTCAACTCCAGCTCTAATCTTGCCACGGGTACCATCTGGTCCCAGGGACCACAGAGGAAGGGCCCTCACCATGGCATTCATTCTCTCTTCTGACTTGGTGTGCAGGCCTTGCTGAATCCACGCAAGTGCCCAGGCTCTGGGAGAGGGTAGAGGCCAACATGTAGGAAAAGGCAGATGAAGAATATTAAAGTGCCATTAGCATGAAAACAGCGGACTATTCCAGCCAGCAGAGGGTTAACTGGCCTTCTGGGGCAGGAGATCCCAGACCAGGCTTGAGGGAGGGGCCTGGCTCTGCAGCTCCTGGGACCCAGCCCTGCAGCTGCTGGGACGCAGCCAGCACCTTGAGGAGGCTTAAATCTCCCTGGAGAGGAGTAGCTGTCACAGGGAAGGTGGGAGAAGCACTGGGACACTTTCCCTTCAGAGGAGGGGCACAGTTCAGACTCAGGCAAGAAGCAGGGCCTGAAATCCCCATTTTATGGAGACAGAAAACTGAGACCAGGCCAACCAGAAGTCATGGCAATCACATCTGCCCTCTACCTCTTGCAATAGCCCAAGAACTTTTGTGACTAAAAGCTATGATATTTCTGTAAGAATCTTATGGAAATTTGGGTCTGTCTATCTAAGGGAGAATGCTGCTTTGAATGTCAAGGAGAACCATTTTAACTGTGGGGCATTTTCCCACACAGAGACTCTTATTCTTCCTTCTGCTTGAATCTCATCATCAGAATTGCTCCAGGTTACAGGCTGGTGGTCTCAGCCGTGTAACACCATTGCTGACTCTTAGAATCCCCTTGACCCTGTGAAAATGAAACAAATGGGCTTCTAACAACATTTCTGGAAGGAGGGGCTTTACTGATAGATGACAAGGCAACAGCCTTGAACAGCAGGAAGCCCATTCACTAGGGAGAAAGAGGGCAAGAGCGGAGCATAGGGGAAAGTCCCACAAGGGGAGTGATGAGGCACAGGAATGGGTGAGAAGAGTTTATTTGGTTCCATTGAGGTTACCTCCTTAAGTTCAGGCCCAGAAGCCCCCAAGTCGCCCAGCAAAGCAGGTGAGGAGGAGAACATGGTGTCCTTGCCTCTAGACCCTGACCTACCATTTTCATCCGTGGGGTATAGCACAAGGGCCTCAGGCAAGAATCTGCTGTTTCTACCACCGGGGACCCCCGGGCCAGAGCTTCCCACCCCACGATGGACTCATGGTCTGTTTCCCATGTACATCGAGTCCATCCCAACCCAACAGGTACAGACCAAGCCCTGGTTCAAGCTCCTCAAGGATGCAGATTCTCAGGACAGTAGAGAAATAGGAATGGAAGCTCTTCTCCCACTCCCCTAGCTCTGCAATCAATAGTGCTGTTGACCTTCCCCACTCGGCCAATAAGAACTGAAAACACATCCATCCATCCATCCATGCTAGTGTACTTGTTGTGGCATCAGGCATTGAACTTGGCACTTGGGATGAATAAGTCATGGTGCCTTGGCCTGAGGAGCTCTCAGTGTGGTGTAGGGAGAAACAGGCAGAGGGAGAAGATGATGAAGGGCCCAAGAGAGAATCCAAAGGGTGTAAGGGAGAAGAAGCCTTAATCTTAAAATCTTCCAGGGAAAATGTCTTTTGACCTCACTTTGATTCAGCCCTAAGGAGTCTAGGATATGCTGTCAGTTGGTGCACAGTTCACGCTCTTTCAACAAGCATTTCACAAGCATTCCCTTTTATCCGTTGCCGGCTATGTTCCCAGTCGCATGCTAGTCCTCAGAGGGTTATAAGATAAATAGAAAAGATATCCCTGCCTTCAAAATGTTGACAGGACTTACGCACATCTGAAGCAATTAGAGAACAATTCGAGTAGGTAGTCAATACATGTTAGCTAGTATATATACAATGAACAAATCAATTGATTATCCTAGGACAAAATGTCTGGCAAAAAAAAAAGGCATCAAAGTGGGAGCAATTAATTAGCCATTAGAGAGGATGGGGAAGGCTTCATGGAGGAGGTGGGGCTTGAGCTAGAGATGGGCAGAGGACAGTGAAAACAGGCTGGGGTCATGAATATTGGTCAGGAGTCAGCTACTAGAAAACTAGAAAACTAACAACTAGAAAAACTGGGGATGGGGCACATTCAGACCAAGGGCTCCTTGCCACCAACTTTTTGTATGACCTTAGGGACCTCTTTTCTTTGAGGTCAGCATTGAACATAAGGGCCTAGATAGTACTTTTCAAACCCTTATAGTAACAGCATCAGCATCAGCTGGGGAATTTGTTAGAAATGTACATTCTCAGCCCTCATGCCCACTGAATCAGAAATTCTGGAGGTGGGCCTCGCAGTGCATTCACCAAGCCCTCCAGGTGATTCTGAGGACACACTAGTGTGAGAACTGCAGGACTACCTCGCTGCTCCTCGACCCTGGCTACTCATTAAATTCACCCGGGGAGCTTTTAAGCTGAAGAAGATGCCTGGGCCCCACCCACAGAGATTGTGATTAATGGATGTAGCCCTGGCATTCATATTTTTTAAAGCTCCCCAGATGATTCTAATGTGCAGCCAGGGCTGAGAAGCACTGGACTAGATGACATCTCAGTCCTTTCTGACTTATTTTCCTAGGATGGGCTTGGAGAGGCTAAGCCAGGATTCCTGGCTCCCCACATCTCACAGGGTGGATTTGTGGACAGTCAGGGCATATGTTTGGGGGCTGAAAGACCCTCCTGGGATCCAAAAATCTTTAATCTCTTAATGAGCAGCTTTTTGATGATTTATATAAATTGTTCACCATTCCTTCATACTTGTCTGAGGCTAAGATACTGTGAACAGATGTTGACTTTCCCACCCCAGCCACCATGAAGGAGTGTGCATAAGCACACACTCACTTACACACACATACAATACACAGTGCTATAAATAGATGTACATGCACACAAGGATAACTGCATAGGGATATTCAAAATCATTCCCAAGGGCGTATATGCACACACAAATAAATCCACTGTCAGAAATCCCAGGCCCAGAACACTCAGACTGCTTGGGAAAGGATTCCTTTTGGTGGAAATTGGGCTGTTTAAAAGAAGTGGCACTTCAGTCTATGGAGTAGTGACTGGGGGTTAGCAATGGTCTTCTGTAAGCTACCTGCTCTGGGCAGAGGCAGGTAGCCCACAGGGGAATACTGAGGGCAGATGCTGAGGACACCCTTGTTTCTCATACAGATTCGGGCCGACGGTCCCCCCCATGGTGGGGTCCAGTACGAGATGGTCTCTGTGCTCAAGGACGGAAGCCCCATCCTCCGGGACATGGCCTTCTCCATTGATCAGCGCTACCTGTACGTCATGTCTGAGAGACAGGTAAGTGCTAACATCCATCTCTGCTTTCCAAACTCCAAGAAACTGCTGATAATCTGTCACCTTTGTTCAGAAACTGTTCAGTCCAAGAAGAGAGACCTCTGGGCTTGCAGCACAGGGGTCTTGAGAGAGGCAGAGTGCCTGTAGGCTTTTGCAGGGAGCTAGAGAGAAGCAGCCGGGGGCCAGCCACTTCCCGGAGGCTTCACTCTAGGCCACAGCCCCTGTCTCAGTAAGTGATGAACAGCCCTGCAAGAACAGGCCAGACTGCGTGGAGCAGCTTGGTGTGATTAGGAGGTAGATTTACTGCTCTCAGGCCCACAGAGTCTGCTGCTCAAGGGAGCCAAAGAGGTGTAAATAATCCAGGCCTCTGGGCTGGGCCCACTCCTGGGAGAGGCAGACCCAAGACAGGGCCCCAGAAGGAAATAAAAATCTTGGCGTGAGTCTTAGACTGGTGCAGAGTATAAGCTGGTCAGCTCTGGGAAGCTGAAACCAGGCCTATGGAGATGGGAAGCCCTGAGAAATAGACTTCTACCCTCTGTAGGGAAACAGCTGAGCAAGTCTTCCACCCTCTGGGATGGATGGAGACTGTATTTCCTGTGAATATGTGTGAGTAGAGAGAAGGCAAATGCAGAGAGAGCCATGGTGAAGGGAAAGAGAAGCAGGGAAGGCAGGGGATTCATGAGATCGACAGAGACCCAGAAAGCTAGGCAAAGACCTTAGCCAAGCCGGACACATTCCATTCACTCGGTCAGTGGGTTAATAGTTGTTCAGCAGCAGCAGCAGGGGTCTTGTCATTTTTCTTAACAGGGTAAGTAAAATAAAGGCCAAAGAAATGAGGAAAAGGATTGCCAGTCTGTCCCAGCAGCTGAGGACACTGACTTAGGCTAGAGAAGGATGCTGGTAGAGCTGAAGGTCCAGAGAGCTTTCACAAGTTGCTTCCCAGCTCATGTCATTCTCAGAGAATTCTGCAAGAGTTCCAGGTGTCCTTGATCAAACTTACCCTTTCCAGAGCTCTCCTTACCTCCTTTCTTTTCTAATTTAAAAGGAGTCTGAATCAGGGGATGAGGGATGAGCGAAGAAGTAAGGAAGAGATAAGTGTGCACACGACAGCATTAAGGGAAGCAGTGATGCAGTTCTGAGTTGAAAATTAGTTCTTGAGGACAGATGACGTAAATCATACGATAATTGCATGCCAATTATATCCAGATCCTCTTGAACCCACCTGTCTTTTTCACCTTCTTTCATGTGGCCTCTGCCGTTGAAGTATAAACAGGTCCAGATGGGAATTTTGTGGATCTGTAGACAGCTTTGCCTAACCTAGAGTGGGTAAGACAGTCTTGGAAATAAACACTGACCTATCATTCCGATGAAACAGTCAGTGGGCCTAAAAAGAACTATTCCTGGGCACATATTTATTGGGAACAAAGTGCTGGGAATCATCAAAATGAATGAGACTTAGCCACTACCTTAAGTTGATTGCAATCTAACAAGAGAGAGACAGGTACCCAAATAGCCTAATAACATCAGATTGAATTCTATACATGCTCTTTTATCCTGTTCTTCTTTAAGGGAAAACATTATTTGTTTAATAAAAATTGTGGACGCTTGTTATACAAATTCAAGCAATGCATACAGAAAAGAAAACAGCAGAAGGTCACCAAATCTCACTACCCAAAATATAACACCATGTTAACATTTGATGAGCACCATTCCAGGCACTTATGCAGATATAGATACAGAAAAAAGGACAGGTAGATAGATGACAACCTATATTGGTGGATAAAACGATGAGCAGAGGTTAAATAGACTCACATTTTATGCAATGTTTTCAAGAGGCACTGTGTGTAGCAGAGGACCAGGCGGGTAGCTCTGGGTAAGAGCTCTTTCTTAGATTCTCTGAGCCCAGCAAAGTGGGAAGGAAGAAGTGACCAATGAGACCTTAGTGGGACCGAGAAGGTACCAAGGCATATATTTTAGCTGCATATCTTTTTATCCAATGAAACGCTTTCTGAAAATGCATTCAAAATGTATCCAAAGAAGAGGGGCTGGGTCAGGGCTGGAGGCAGATGAGTGGGTTTCAGAGAATATAATCACCTCCTAGATCCATATCTGATGCCATCTCTGAGACCATCAGCCTGGCCACACCAAGTGTCCACACAGCTTATCTGTAAATACCCCTCCTCTGTCCCACCTTCTGCTTCAGGTACCCAGTTCTTGTTACAGTCTACACCAAACAGAGGGGTTTAGCAGTAGCCAGCCACGATGAGCAGAGATAGGAAGAATTTGGGTTTCATGCCATGGGCTGCCTCTGGTCAAGTGAAATATTAGTAGGGGGAGCTCCCTGTACCAGATGGAGCTGTGATTACGAGGCAAAGTCTGAGGGGGATTTGTGGTGGAGCTCTGAGGCCTGTCACCTGGAGAGCCGTAAATTGTGTAGAAATAGGTAGCCAGGTGACTTCACCAGGGGCTCAGTCCAAAGCTGAAAGCCAAGAACAGCTCAGGAGGCCCATCTGTCTGAGGCCGGCTGTGAGTTAAGTACTCACAGACAGCTCAGATGTCTCCAAGGAAGCAGTTGAATGTGTGGCAGGAGAATAATCTGTCAAAATGAAGTCAGATGTCCTGGGTTCTAGTCCAGCTTGTGTTATCACTGATAGTAGAATCCTCTGACAGCTTTGGTTCCTCTTTTATAGCTGAGAGGAGTTGCATCAGATAACACCATATCTGAAGTCCATGGGTATGATTTGGACTTCATTTCACCATTCTCTATCTGAATGGCCTTGCACAAGTCACTTAACCTCAGTGTTTCTCACACAAGGTCAGTGTGAGGCTCAGCTGAGACAATAAAGGGGGAATTTCTTTTTATACTGCCCCACATGCCACATTCTATATGGCCCATTCTAGCTCTCATGCCTCATGATCCCATTTCTCAGGAGTATAGAGATGGTGTGTGATGAAGAGGGGGCAGGGGGACATGACACACCCAGTCATCCTCAGCCTGAGCCAGGAGATCTGTGTTCTAGGCCTGGCCCCATCTCTGACTTCAAGGGTAACCTGGGCCCTCAACTTCTCAGAGTCTCAGTTTCCTCATCTGTAAAGATGGAGATTATAAATCTAACTCTAAAGTCTCTTTCAGATCTTATAGAAATTTGTTTAAGGTCCTAGGATTGGGACTCTGCTCTGTCTCTCTCCAGAAGATGATACCAAAAGCACAAAAGATGGGCCTGAGACTAAACCAAAAGCAGTGTTCTCTTTTTCAATTTTTAATTTTAAAATTTTTTATTTTGTTTTGTTTTGTTTTTGAGACAGAGTCTCACTATTGCCCTGTCACCCAGGCTGTGGTGCAGTGGCATGACCTTGGCTCACTGCAACCTCCGCCTCCTGGGTTAAAGCGATTCTTCTGCCTCAGCCTCCTGAGTTGCTGGGATTACAGGTACATGCCACCACACACAGCTAATTTTTGTATTTTTAGTAGAGCCGGGGTTTTGCCATGTTGGCCAGGTTGCTCTCAAACTCCTGACCTCAAGTGATCCACCTGCCTTGGCCTCCCAAAGTGCTGGGATTACAGGCATGAACCACCATGCCAGAGCAATTTAAAATTTTTTTTATGGAAATAGAGATGGGGTTTCACCATGTTGCCCAGGCTGGTCTCGAACTCTTGGGCTCAAGGGATCCGTCCACCTCGGCCTCCCAAAGTCCTGGGATTACAAGCGTGCGCCACTGCGCCCGGTCAGCATAATGTTCTTAAGGAGAGATTTATGAGGCCACATGTGCTCATATGAGCATCTTCGCTGAAGGGTCAACATTGTAGAGAAAGCTGGAATGCTGGTTTGGTTATGGATATGTACACATGCTCTCGACTTATGATGGGGTTGCCTCCTACTCAAGCCATTGTAGGTTGGAAATATTGTAAGTCAAATACATGTTTAATACACCTAACCTCCCAAGCTCATAGCTTAGCCTCACCTACCTTAAACATGCTCAGAACACTTATCTTCACCTACAGTTGGGCAAAATCATCTAACACGAAGCCAACTTTATAATTAAGTGTTGAATATCTCATGTAATGAATTGAAGAGTGTACTGAAGGTGAAGGAGAGAGTGGCTGCATGGATACTTGAAGTACAATTTCTACTGAATGTGTATTGCTTTCACACCACTGTAAAGTAAAAAAACCATAAGTTGAATCATCGTAAGTTGTCTATTTTCCTACTTTGAGACAGCAATTTAAGACTTTCAAGTTCTCTAAAAGTCCTGAGACCTTTTAAGATATCATGGGAATGGGTTTTTCATCATTTCGCTCTAAAACAAATCTCTGGGCAACCTACTCTCATCCCTGTCTTCCACCCTGCCCCAACCCTTGCCTCTCTGTTCCCCCACCCATCCTCCAAACATGACACATGTAATATTCTTGGGGCCGTGAGAGTGGAACACATAGTGAGAGTAAAACCAAGTCTCTGGTCTTACATTCTGCCTAGAGAGGTTTTCATCTCCCCACAGAGCTAGAACAATCCAATATAGCACTCATGTATTCTCTTTCACTCTCAATTAATTAATTAAATGTAATTAAGAAATAGGACTAGTAAGTGTTGGGTCGTTAGTGTCACTGCCTAACAAGTCAATGGTAATGTACTGTTAATAGATCTAAGACCGGCCAGTCCCAGGGGAAAATTTGGGAACTGATTCCCCAATCCTATTAATTGCCCAGGTGCTCCACTGAGAGGATGCCTGGCTCTTTCCTAGAAAGTCTGCCCCAGCTTCACTGACAGCGAATCAGCAGATGTTATGGGCATGCATACAAGTTGCTCCCATATCCTCAGTGTGTAATGGAAGTCAGACAGCGAGTCAAGGGAAAATCAGGCTATGAGCCAAGTGAAAAACCAAGCAACAAGATGAAAAGAAACTTGATAGCCCCAGTTTTCACCCAACTTGTCAGGCTGGCCACTCCTAGAAAAGGAGTATAAATCTATACACAGGGTGGATGGGAAAAGAGTATAGGGATGGAAGCAATTATTCTATTTTATACTTTAATTAGTTTGCATTAGCAGAGGGAATAGAGGCATGAAATGATCCAGCGAAGGGTGAAATGGAAAAAGGGAGTCACAGTGGAGAATGGCTCCGTACAGACTGGAAAGGGCCTTGGGAACAGCAGAAAGGATGGTGATGGGTGTGTGTGTTTGGAGTGGGTGCTGGGGCATGGGATTCTGTTCTCTACTTCAAGGCCTGGAGAGGCAAAATAGCATAGATGTTAAGAGCTGGCCCGTGGGAGTCAGGCCAACCTCCATTCCATAGACACTTACTAAGTATATGGTTTTGATAATGTTATTCAACTTCTCTAAACCTCAGTTTGATCATCTGTGTAATGGGCCTAATGCAATTGTTGTGAGGATTGAGAGAATGCATATAAATCACCCAGCATCATGTCTGACACATAGTGTTTTCAAAAGGTGGTGGTAATTATTATTACTAGTAGTAGTCTTAGAACTTCTTTGGAACTTCAGAAAGGGCTAGAAACATCTCCACCACAAATTATGGCTGGCACAGAGTTCCCAGTTTCAGGCAGTGGCCTCCAACTGCCATTCCTCCTGCTTACTCCCAAGCGCTGCCTCAGAAGCCTCTGGCCTGGCCAAATGACAGCACTGAGCTGAGTCTCCCATAATCTGGTATTTATTTTAAAAATCCAGGAATGTGCCTGGCAGACTAAACAGTCCCGCTCCCCTCAATATACAGGCAGGCAGCCCCAGGCCGATGTGTGAGGCCAGAAGGCCAGGATAGCAGGCATCTGTGGAGAGAAGGGAGGAGGAACCTGTGAGCCTGGGGCTGCATGCATGGACACCGGGCCAGAAAGGGAATACCTATGGGGCTTTTCATTTCTGGTTTCTCCACGTAAGTAACAAAGTCTCACGCTCATTGTGAAAGATGGGTCTGCCACTCTCCAGGTAGTGAACATTCAGACCCCAGTTCCGAATGTCCTAGATGTACTAGTAGTTGGCACACTGTTCTGGTTATTTACTGCTTTGTAACAAACCACCCCCAGGTTTGGGGATATTTTTAAAAACACATTTTATTATGCTCAAAGACTGTGTAAGTCAGGAATTCAGATACGGTGCACTGAAGACGGCTCATCTCTATTCTATAATGTCTGCAGCCTCTGCTAGGATGACACAAATGGCTGGGACTGACTAGAAGGACAAGGGGCTAGAATCATTTGGAAGCTTCTCCCCCTACATGTCTGGGAAGTGGAAGCTGGGATCAGTTGGGACTGTTGACCACAGTGCCTTAGACAAGTCCCTGCCATGTGTGTTGGGCTTCCTGACAGCAGGCGGCCCCCAAGACAGTCAGAATTCTTGCTTGTGGCAGCTGAGGACTCCAAGAGTGAGTACTCCCTATAATGAGGTAGAAATTGCATCGCCTTTTTGTGACTTGGCTTTGGCAGTCACGCAGTCGGTCTGCTTGCCTCTTCCCTCTGCTGCCCAACACCCATGTGATTCTGATGCGTGTGGTCCATGAACACACATTAAGAACATGATTCCCCAGCTACCAAGGTCATGGAATCACAGAGCATCAGAGCTGGTAAGGACTGTAGAGAGCACCCATTCTGACCCCAGATAAGAAAGACGAGGCCCAGAGAGCACCCTGTTTAGCTGCCCCATCAGCATTGTGCAACACCCAACGCCCAGCTGGAGTCATCAAAGCTGGACTGATTTCTTCAAACATGTGGGGAAGTACTGACAACTTTAAAGCTTGCTGTTGATTTGCTGAAGGTTGTGTAAGTCCTACCTGAGGTCTATCAAATGCCTGTGGGCCCTGAAAATGCTTTCAGGAAGGGTTTGCAGGAATCCATCAGTAGCAGGATCACACTGCCTGGAAATTTTCCCATGGAGGGTATGCTGCTTATAAATAGCTCTCCAGGCAGTCTTCCTGTGGCAATATTGTCTCATCTTGCACAGGAGCAGGCCTCTCAGTGACTTACCTTCAGTATGTGGGGGAGTGGGACCTCATCCCCATGGATTACAGGAAACTGGCTTTTTAACCACATCTGTTTAACGTAATTTAAAAGAGTTGGGGCAAGGAGACTGTCAGCTTGGAGTTTCAGAAACAAAAATTATTTGGAAAGATTGTAAAGCCACCCTTTCCTGAAGGTCTTAAATGCAGGAGAGACCCCCCACCACCCCCTAAGAAATTCTCTGCATTGTTTGAAGACCCTACGCAGTATCTGGGGAGAGATGGAAGGACAGGCCAGACCCTTAGCATACCATCCACCAATGTCCAGCAGCTGCACCAGAAAACTAATTGTGGTTTCCTCCATTTGGAGGAGGCCCTGTCAACTACTAACCCGGATCTAGAACCAAAAATAAGAATCCTTTTCAGAGGTGCTATTGTGATACATGGGGCAGTAAGTCTTCTACCTGTAGCCAAAGCTACTGAACTGTTAAGTCCCTAAGGCACCTAAAGACCTTGGGGAAGGGAAAGAAAAAACGTGGGGAGTCACACTTCCAGATGTCCCCTGCTCATTTATTTTGACATCTCAGACTATTATTTTGATTGTGCACATTTGTTTAGTCCAGGCGATAAGGCTTCCCAGGGTGCAGGCAGAGCATGCCAAGGTGTATTTTTACAAGGCGGGCAAGGACTCAGTAACAGGAGACCTCCCTTCTGCCTGGGCTGGGAGGCCTTGGCTGAGCCTCTGGGGAGGAGGGAATGTGAGGGGGCAGGGAGGAGAGTTGAGCCTGAGGGACTTTGGGGAGAATTACAGAGTTTGCGGATTAGGAAAGTGAGGATAAGCGAATTGCTGCTGCACTTTTGTTTTAAAATGTGTCACTTTCAATCCAAGGCTTTGATGCACATGTGTTTCTGGTTAAGGATGCAGGACCCCAGTGTGGCCCAGGAGCTGAGCACTCACATCAGTGCCTTTCCCAAAGAAAGGGCGGAGTCCTGCCTCCCACCTCCCGGGGCTGTGGGTGCAGGCAACAATGACCACCTCAAACCCGGGTTTTGATTTTTTCCTCTTTCTTTCCCCCATTTCAAATGTCAAGGAACAAAGAGGCTGATAGGGAGCTGATTCTCTGGCTATTAATATTCTCATCGGAGTATTTTTTTTAAATAAATATTTTCACATGAGGGAAAGGCAATGCAAACCCACCCTATTAATCAGACACTTGGCTTGCTGTATTTAAGAGAGAAAACTCCAGCCTCTTATTTTGAAATCCTTTGGTTTGGAAAGAAATGATTGAATACAATGCCCAGGCTGGGAGAAGTGGTGCCAAAAACCTCATTTCTCTAAATGGGCAAGGGGGTTGGAGACTCTCTAATCCTTGATGAGGGATTTGATTTTTCTTTCTAGATAGGTATTGCTGAAGGATGACACTGACTGCCCAGAATCATGTTCCTATGACCAGGAGATGGGAAGTTACAGTGTCTCACCAGAAGGAAACTTACCCTCCTTCATTCTTTTAAATATGGGGAAACTGATGCCTCCAGAGAGGAAAGTCATTTGCCTAGGCCATCATCTGAATTACCAGAAGAATCAGGGTAAATCCTGAGTAACCTGGTCTAGCCCAGCATCCTTTCCCAACTTGACAACAGTTTCACTCAGCACAGACAAGAGTGAACACTGTGTTTAAAAACTTTTAATTAGCAACATTAAAACAACCTAGGCCCAAGAGAGTTCCTGAAGATGTTCCGAAGGGTCAAATTAAAATAGGGAAAGATTTGCATATTGTTTGCATATGCAGACTCATTCATTCAATAGACCATTAAGTGTTGACCATGTATAATGCATAGAGCTGTCCACTGACAAGTCATTTGCATATGTAGATATAGATAGGGCTGTCTTTCTAAGTAATATTCCAGCAAAAGTCTCCTTCTAAATAGGGCTGCCAGGAAGATAAGTACCTTCTTGATTTCTTTTTGCTGTTTTCAATGCAACAATAGCACTATTACGTATGCTTTTGTATAGCAAAAAATAAAATAGAATCCCTGCCCTCAAGGTGGTCAAATTCTGGAGAAGCGCAATGATGTATAGATAAATCACAAGATAAGGTTATTTATTTGTACATCAGAGCAATGCTGTAGAAGAGATGTACTATGTATTCAATGATTAAAGTAACTCATAAACGCATACCACCAGGAAGGGACCTGTCCTGGTTCCCTCCCTAATTGGGGTCACTCGGGGGACTCACCCTCTCCCTAACACAAGAATCCAGAGCTGGTTTATCCAGAGATTCTCTAGTGAAGAGCAGCCCTTTATTTTACAGAAGAGGAGATGAGAGGTCTGAGGGGGCAGTGACTCCGGAGAAGAAAGGGTATACCAAGCCGAATGTGGAGAAGCAGACAATGATTGACTATCAGTAGTTTCCTGACAGCCATGGGGAGCAGCCAGCCTGGGTTCAAGCCCTGGCTCTACTGCTTACTGCCATGTGACCTTGGGCAAGTTGCTTCACCTTTCTGTGCTTCAGTTACCTCACCTGTAAAATGGGCATAATTATGGCATCTGTTTGAAGATTAAATTAATTAATGCATAAAAAGCACTCTGAAAAGTACCAGGAACCTACTACCCGCTTAGTAAATGGTAGTAGTAGTAATTATATTTTTACAGTTGTGCCCCCATACATCATCATCAGGCCAAGCCCTGCAGGTCATGCTTTGCAAACAGCCACACCTAAAAAAAGCTTAACCACCCTGCCTTGCCTCTCAGCCCTACCTTATTTAAGCTGTGTTGAAATCTAACTAATATTTTTGCCGTGTTTTTCTTATTTTAGTTTACAAACATGGCCTCAGCTAATACACCAGTCCTATGAGATAAGTATTATTGTCCTTGCCTTTT
Organism: Homo sapiens; assembly: GCF_000001405.40. Taxonomy (NCBI): domain Eukaryota; kingdom Metazoa; phylum Chordata; class Mammalia; order Primates; family Hominidae; genus Homo; species Homo sapiens. The sequence continues at coordinate 208,132,508 of NC_000001.11, read as the reverse complement.
TTTAACAGATAACAAAACTGAAATTCAAACTGACTAAGTAATTTGCCCAGGGCCACCAAGCTGTCCAACAGCAGGGCTGGGACTCCACCCCACACCTCTGAAGCCAAATCCACACCTCTTCAGCTTCCTGAGACAGCGCCCCCTGGCTGCCCTGTGGCTGCAGAAGGCTCCTCCCCTCCTGCTCTCCCCACACCCGGCTCCCAGTTAGGAAAAGGGTTCAGAGGCGGCTTTCTGGGCTCCAGGAGGCCAGCACAGACTCAGTAACTCCTCATTTGACACCTTCAAGGAGATTGGAGTAGTGCACTGTTTAGTTTAAAAAACCAATAAAGGAAAGCAAGCACTGCCCCGGGCCCTACATGGACAGTCAGGGGAAATGCCTCTGCAGGTGGTCAGAATGCAGGGAGAAAAAGCACCTCGCCCCAGGAAGTTACCGCGGAGTTTCTCCTGCGCAGCCAGCCAAGCGCCTCACGAGCATGATCTCCCCTCTTCACAAGAACCTGGGAAGACAGGTATTATCTCCCCCGTTTGACAAATGAGGAAGGCCAGGTGCAGCAATGTTGAGGGATCTGAGCTAGGTGTGTCTATGACTTTTAGGAGGCATAGCCGGGAGTGAGGAGCCTGTCTGTGTGGCTGCAAAGCTCCTGGACTGCTCGCCCTCCCCTAGCACCAGGAGAGCCCATGCAGAGACCCCAGCGGGAGACATCATGACTCCTCTGCATATTTTCTTACCCCCATCCAAAGCTCGTCGGTCTGGCAAAGGAAAAACCTTTTCAAGGAGGGCAGCTGCAGAACACATGTGAGGCATTGAAGCCCCGATTCAGCTTCTCTGGTGCTGTTTCAAGTGTGAACCATGCAAACCCATATCAGCTCAATCCCTGGCCCTAAGTAAGAGGTTCTCAGACTCAAGAAAGCCTCCTGTGTTCCCCATCTTAAGTCTTATCCAGCCAGACACAGGGGGCCCCGGAATGACACCCCAGAGCTCTGCAGCCTGCTTTTCAGCTCCTTCCAGGAGCGCTCCCTTGTGTTCCCTGCGTTGAGTTTCAGTAATTGAATGTGTTTTATTTAGACCATAACATTTAGTGCCACTTTGGATTTCCAATTAGGCTTCAATCAGATGCCGAGAGTCTGATTCGTTTTGTTGTTTTGATCAACACGAAAGATGGCAACATCAGAGGAGCCGTCATGAAAAGTTACTGCCATCCACTGATGACTAGGACGGTTTCTGTAGTGTGAAGATGCAGGTTCAGAGGTGTCGAGAGCGGCACCATGCATCAGGAAGAGGGGCAGAGGCAAAGGGGAAGTCAGTGAACCCCTGGAGACAAGCGCAATTGGAAGTCCTGGGGTGCGTGGCCGGGACTTGGCAAGGTCCCTCTGTATGTGGGCCAGGGCTCTGGGTGCCCCTGAGGGAGGGGAAAGGTGTTGGTCTCCACCCCAGCAGATTTCTCATACAAATGGTTCAGGCTTGAACAGCTCCTCTCAGGCCTTTTATCCAGGGACATCTTTGTGAACACAGGGTTCCCATGAAGTGGGAAGCTGACCACCACTTTTTGATTTCTTTAGTGAAGGCCTCTGAACTCCTCAGCCAGAAGTGACCAGCTGTACTCATTTACAGAAATATGTGGGGGGCTTTTTCTCACCACCTGTGAGTTCTGGCCAGCCACTGGCACATGCTGTCTGTCAGATAAGGTTTCTCAATGGGGTTGATCCTAGGGACAAAATTTGGAATCCAACTTTGAACTGCCAGGGAGTTTGTTGCGGGAGGGAGGTGGCAGGATGGCAGAGGGGTGATGGGAGAGTGGCCGGGGAGGAGTAGGTAAGAGTCTGCCTGTGCCAATCATCAAGAGTCACTCACCACACATCTGAGTCAAGGTCAACTGGAGCCTCATTTTCCCCATTGATAAAATGTGTTTGAATGCCCCTTGCGGCAATGACATTGGGTGCATTCCTTCTAGCCATGAATGTGTATGGAATGGAGGCTGTGTGCACAGCGCTCGGAGGCTGACCTGGGTTCGAGTATGCATGTGCTTGTGAGAACAGAAGTTGGTGGGGTTGGTGAGTGAGATGAGAGCAAACGTTCCTGTGTGTTCTGGGGGTGTTAGTGTCTACACTATGTTAGTGTTAGTGTCTTCACTATGTTAGTGTTAGGCTCTTTCATATGCCATTGCATGTACCCACTGGGGGAAATGTGTGTTCAAGCCCTTCTCCTCCCAGCTTTACACTGTTTTTAGAGCCCAGCTTGGCTGCATTTCCAGCTGGCCCTTTGATCTTTCTGTAGCAGGCCAGCTCAGGGACTCAGCTTTTCAGCCGCAATCTCCACTTCATAGAGTGCATGCCTTGTGGTTAAGTTCCCTGAGCCTTTGCCACTGTGCCTCAAGTTACCTCCCTCACCTCACCTTGTTCCCCCCAGTTATGACTGGTCCCCACCTTGCAAACAGGTTGGGGTTTGAAACTCCCACCAGGTGATGAGAAGGCTGACTGTGTCATCAGCTGTTGGTGACTTAGCAAACAGTCTGGGTTCAGCCTCTGTCCCTCAACTAATATTTAATTATAAGAAAGAGGTGGGCAGAGATGCAAGCCAGGTAGAAGGAAGACAGGAGAGGGAAGAATGAACTGAGATGAAAAAAATGTTCTAGCCACTTAGCCATTAAATAGCTCATCAAACAGCCTTTGAGGACCAACTGTGCTCACAGCAAAGAGCTTATCCTTGCACTATCACACATACATATGGAAAATAGACAAGTAAGTAGTGAGTTACAATACAGTATGCAGAGTGCTGGGATTACAGGAGAGGGCACCACCCAATATAGCCTGTGAGTCAAGGAAGGCTTCCTGGAGGAGGTGATGCTCTAGGTGAATCGTGAGAGGGGAGGGGCTCACCCAGTGGAATAAAAAAGCAAAGAAATATTGTTCAAGTTAAGGAAAGCTTGGGAGTGTGAGAGAGTTTGGTATATTCAAGGACTATTTCCCAAAACTTGATACTGGCAGAGCTGAAGGCAAGGATTAGGAGGCATCCATCCTCACAGAATTTCTGCAGCATGCAGGTGAGCAGCCTTCAGGGGGGCTCAATCCACCCACCTTTCCTAAGAGGGATTCCCCCAGCCCCAGCTGCTACAACATAGAACTTGGTAGGAAGCCATCATGCACCCAGCCCCTGGTGCTCTCTGTGGCAAGCTCACCAGCAGGTCCTCTGGACATACCCTGTATCTAAGTAACATCATCAGGAAAAAAGATGCTAGCTCTGGCAGAGCTCCAGTGCTGAAGCCCGTTGTAACCTTGCCAATCCCCTCCCCTCAGGACAGCCATTTCTCTGACTGTACAGCAAGGAAGATCTCTGCCCATCCCAGGTTCATGGAAAGAGGATAAAGGAAATGAGATAGTGCACCCATTTCAGGCATTCATTGTATCATTTCTGCAGCATTTATTACAGGCAGAGACCTTGCCTGTCTGGGCTGCTTCTGTCTCCCCAAGAGATACCACAGCATTTGGTACTTAGTAGGTACTCAAGAAACACTAGGGCTGGGCGCAGTGGCTCACGCCTGTAATCCCAGCACTTTGCGAGGCTGAGGCGGGTGGATCACGAGGTCAGGAGACCATCCTGGCTAACACGGTGAAACCCCGTCTCTACTAAAAATACAAAAAATTAGCCAGGCATGGTGGCGGTCACCTGTAGTCCCAGCTACTCGGGAGGCTGAGGCAGGAGAATGGTGTGAACCCTGGAGATGGAGCTTGCAGGGAGCCGAGATCGCTCCACTGCACTCCAGCCTGGGGGACAGAGAGAGACTCCATCCCAAAAAAAAAAAAAAAAAAAAAAAAGAAAGAAACAGGAAACACTTGTTGGAGCTTAGGAAGAAAGAGAGGAGGGGGAAAAAGGAAACAAAGGAAAATATCTATGAAAAGGAGGCATTCTAGTTTACTGTAAGGCCTCATCTTGGGAGGCAATTAGAATTGTATTCAAATCTTGGCTCTATCACTCTTTGATATGGCCTAGCGTATCCTCTCTAAGCCTTGGTCTTGTCTTCTGTAAAGTGGGGATAACAATAATACCTACCTGATAGGACTGCTGAGAAGGTGAAATCCCTATACAATGCCTGGGACAGTGTGAGAGCCAAACCCTCAGCCATGGCTCTAGCTAAGCCCTGTGTTTTCTCCCTGCCTCCAAGGTAATCTCCCTCTTTCACTACCATGGAGTCCCCCACAACTAACACGTTGCCCATTTTTCATCCTTAAGTCATCTGCCAGTTGCATCTATTTCTAGCCTCTGTCTTATGAGACAAGAATAAGGAAGGAAAACAGATAACTGTGGAGGCTCATTTGCCAGTTGTCAGCTCCTGCCGTCAGCTGGGCTCTCTTGTCTGCTTCTCCCTGGGTGCCTGGAAAAATCATTGTGACCTTTTATTTACTGGTTGATCTAGTCAGTTCTTGGCTCCGGATCTCTCTGCCCGCCCCTCAGGCTCCCCGCAGCTCTCCCAGCCCTCCATCAGCCAGTGTGGGTTCCCTGACTCCCAGGCAGAATCATGCTGCAAGATGGGCAGGCTGTGCTGGGCCCTCGGAGCCTGCCTGTCTTCATGATCAGATTCCTAAAAACCTGTGGGCACAGAGAGGAGGGGCAGTCAGAGCTATTGATCTTCCCTACTCGCTGCTCCCGCCAGGGGGGATTTCTACTGCAGATTCTCTCCTGCAGGCCTCTTCTTCTCACCCCGTTTTACTGAGCAGCTAAACTGAGCTTGAGGCTAGCGAGTGGCTGCCCCGGAGTTACTCCGTAAGTCAGCAGCATACTCTCTCTCTTGGCCCCTCATCCAACTTTTTGAGCTTTACCAGGTTGTTTTCATCCTTTTCCCTTCATCCTCTTCTACTCCCTACATCAGCTCCCAGCCCGGCTGGCTGGCCATGGCCAGCAGCTATTTCTGCTTTTCCTTCTCTTTCTCCCTGGGACCAGCCATGCATTTCTCTGCAGCTCCTCTGAGCCAATTGGACTGAGGTGTGCACCTCGGGAAGTGGAGGGTGGCTGTTGGGAATAGGGACAATTGTAGTGGTGACAAGGAGACAGGAGGCTAACAAGTGTGTGCTGACAAGAAGACATGCCACATTGGTCCCTGGAAGGCCAGGAATGAGCCAGGCAGACCCAAACTATGTCTTGATTGGCTGCAGGAGTTAATGGTGTATACAGCATAAATGTGACCTTTTATTTACTGGTTGTGAGTAAATAAAAGGAGTATGTGTATGTATGTGTGTGTACATGCACACATATGTGTATCATACCCAAATCAGCTTCTGCAAAAACAATCATCCAAGGTAGAGTATGGCTTTCTCACTCCATTTTCTTCAGGCCATCTCCTTGGACTTCCCAAAGTTTTCATTGCCCATGTTGGAATTGGCAAGCCTTATGCCTCCCTCAAATTTGGAGAAAGGAGTTTTAAAAGCCTCTTGTGCAAGTCAGCTCCCTGCTTCCCAAGCTCTCTTCTTGGCCCTTGCTGTCAGCATCAATTTTCTGCAGGGAGTGATTTAACCTTCGTTTATTCATTAATTCCTTTTTCCTCTTAACTTCATTAGGTAAGTTTTATAAAGGTGCTGAATTGGAAAGGTCACCTGTCCCTGGGCCCAGGACACAGTGTGCCTGCCTCTCTTCTTGTGTGCTTCCTTTCAGGAGTGCTTCTGAGGTAGGGAGGTGAGGAGAGTAGCAGAAGAGAGAGTGAGAGCAGGGCCTGTGCTCTGGGAAGGCAGGGCAGGCAGGAAGATACCATAGGCTCTGAACACGCTTCCAAATTGCCTGCTTACTGTTGGGAGGCAGGATGGCATGGTGGGGAGGATAGGCTCTGTGTTAGGCACATCTGGAGTCCTGGCACTACCCTTCCTAAGCATCAGCCTTCCCCAAGTTACCTGTCCTCATTAAGCCTTCGGTTTCCTCTTAGAAAAACTGTCAATAATGCTAGAATCCACTCCATCAGGTTCTTGCAAGGATTAAATGAGATGCTTCATGAGCATAGTGCCTAGAACACAGCAAACATTCAACAAACAAATTGAACATCTTTTTAAAAAGATCTTCAGTTTTCCAATACAAGCCTTGGTAGCACTGGGCAGTCATTGGATCATGGACCACTAGAGACTAGTGTGCAGAAAGTCTATTTGATTCCCCCAGGCAAGCTAAGCCCACATAGTCTGTGACTGACCCTATCTCCAGAACCACAGGAAAAGCCTGTGGTTTCCTCATGGGGGAGCCAGAAAGAACCAAACCACCCCATGGGGTCAAGGTTGCTTCCCAGGGTCTAACAGATTTCTGCAGAGAGTTAGGGTAAGCTAGCCTCCTGCTCACTGCTGTCACCCTCTGAGACCCACCCACCAATCGTTCATGGTCGTGGGCCTTTTTTCAAGTCCCTGAGGCCTGCTGGGCTCAGCTGCTAACCATCTCATCTTAAGGAGCTGTCTCTCTCATTGCCAGCCTCCCTGGAAGGAGGGGATGCAGTACAGACTAAAGAGCATGCAGGTGTTTTGAACTTGCACAAAGGTCAGAATATCTGCCTGCTGCCATCTCCATGTTGTCTTTCCTCCTGTGACCGCAACAGAGCTCAAAACCATCTCAATCCACCCCAATCACAGTGAATTCAGTCCTCTGAATTTCTCTAACTCTTATGGTAAAACTGCCTGTCCGGATCTATCCATGTGGTGTCTTCCCCCATCAGGCTTTAAGCTACTTGGGGAGCGGATGCAGGTTGGAAGCAGCCTATCCCCTCCCAGGGCCATTTGTGCAGCCAGAACTCAATCAGGTGTTTGAGAAAATAATTTTAATAGAAAAGTACAGAGGAAAGCGGGCAGGCAAACCTGTTCTGTGTGCCAAGCTGAGAATATTCGGTTTGAATATGATCACAGAGGATTACAAGAATTAATTTTATTTTATCTAATATGCTTCGAATTGGGCTTCTGGAATTCAACATGCAAATGTATGCTCCTAGTGCAAATTGGAGCATGCCCAGATTAATGGAGAAAATTCTCATCACCTTGCTTTTCTCAGAATGCGATTTCTCTCACCTGGGATCACTTATTTGTTTGCCAAGGATGAACCAAGGGGTAAATTCTGATGGAGGAAGGAATCTGAGGGCTGGGTAAATCTAACCAGTGCCTTCCCCATGGCAGATGGAATGAAGAGAGATGCTGAGCAGTGGATGACAGCCCTTCAAAGAGCATGGGGACTTCAGGGCAGTAGCCATGGGAAGTCCAAACTGCTCCTCTGGTCCCAGACCAGCCTTCACTGGTATACAGATCACTTCAAACGCATTGTGTTAGTTCCTGTTATCCTCACCTCCCGGATTTAATGAGATTCTTGGGCATCGTTAATAAACAATGCCTGACCTTTTTAGAGTGGCAACATTATATTATTTCATGAAATATGGCCCTACACAAAAGGCCATTTGGTATAGTTATTGTTACATTTTGAAGTGAATTTGGGTCTAATAATGAATTTGGTTCTGAGACTTTCACAGTATCCATTGAGAAAACCGGAGATACTAGTCACTGAATAGCCTAAATAGAAAGTGACCAGTGTTTATACCCGAATGTCATGGCTATACCCCATTCTCTGAGCTTCTGCCCTCGTTCTCTAGCTGTGGCCTATACCATTACTGCCGTGCCTGGCCACTAAGGACGCTGTGACACCAGCTTGGCCTAGCTGTGGACAATTTCCTCTCCCTATAATTCAAGCTAAATCAATATTTGAATGTATAGGAAAGAAAGAAGGCCTCACATGTATAGGAAATTTATTTTCTCAACCCTCTTTAGTTGGGCTTGCCTAAAACATAGGGTATCTCTGGTTCTTTTTTTTTTTTTTTTTTTTTTTTGAGACGGAGTTTTGCTGTTGTCGCCCAGGCTGGAGTGCAATCACATGATCTTGGCTCACTGCAACCTCTGCCTACCGGGTTCAAGGGATTCTCCTGCCTCAGCCTCCCAAGTAGCTGGGATTACAGGCGCCCGCCACCACGCCCAGCTAATTTTTGTATTTTTAGTAGAGATAGGGTTTCGCCATGTTGGCCAGGCTGGCCTTGAACTCCTGACCTCAGGTGATCTGCCCGCTTCGGCTTCCCAAAGTGCTGGGATTACAGACGTGAGCCACCGTGCCTGGCCTGGTTCTACTTTTTAAAACAACTTTTATTTAAGGTTCGGGGGTACATATGCAGGTTTGTTATTTAGGTAAACTCGGGTCATGGGAATTTGTTGTACAGATTATTTCATCACCCAGGTACTAAGCCTAGTACCCAATAGTTGTTTTTTCTGCTCCTCTCCCCCTTCCCTCCCTCCACCCTCAAGTAGGCCCCAGTGTCTGTTGTTCCCTTCTTTGTGTTCATGAGTTCCCTTCATTTAGCTCCCACTTGTAAGTGAGAACGTGTGATACTTGGTTTTCTATTCTGACAACCACTGGATTGGTTCTACTTTTTATGAAGTTCAGTTTCTTTACCAGTGGCCCTAGACTAACATCTAGTGGCCACGGGGCAATGTTGGTAGACGTCAGTGCAGAGTGAAGCTGCACACACAACATAGGCTTTAAATAGTTTCTCTCTCTGGGGTCAACTAGATGGAATAGATACCTGGTCATTCCCGTAACTCTCCAAGTAGCTTCCCTTAGGGACACATCTCACTTCAGTTATAGAAGAAAGGTGGTTTATGTTTTCTAAGTCCAATGACTAGCCGCGTCCTTTTCAATCCAGATTAGAAGCTCCTCCAACCTCAGAAACTGCGTTTGGCCCAAGGGTACTGCTTTCTGCTTTCCCGCATCCTAAGGCTACAGTCTTAACATATAAAATTACTTTAAACATAAACAATGACAGATAACCATTAGAGGAGAGTCATTCTTTTACATTGTAAAAATTGAACTGGGAATTGTCACTTTGGAGAGGTAAGAGAGAGACATATGGACAGACTACCAGGAGACCCTTATTTGTCTCTTAACATTAAATCTAAATCATAAAAACCAAGAGACAAGAGACCCTTACACTTGGAGCCTATTTCATTTTCTTTTTTTCATGAGAGGTGTGTGGAGGGTGCAAAAGGCCCACACTCGAAAACATCATTTCACTGTGCTTCGGTTTCCCTGATGGTAAAAATGAAAGAATCCAGCTGCCTGATATCTTAAGTGTGTATATTAATGACTAAACTGGATCAGTGGGATTTCTTGGGGTGAACAGTGGGACAGTTTCCATCATGACACTTGCTTATGTGGGAGGATATTAAGCTCCTTTCTTTCACCTTCTTGCCTCTGAATTAGGAAATTTAGGAAGTTACTAACATAGGCTACAATATGGATGAACCTTGAAAACATCATGCTAGAAGCTAGTCACAAAGGATCACGTACTGTATGATTCCATCTCTATGAAATGCCCAGAATAGGTGAATCCCTACAGACAGAAAGTCGATTGGTGTTGCCTAGGGCTGGGGCAGGCAGGAGGGAATGGGAGTGACTACTAATGGGTATGGGGTTTCTTTTGGGGGGATGATGAAAGTATTCTGAAATGGATTGTGCTAATGGTTGTACAGTTCCTGAATATACAAAACACCATTGAATTGCGCAATCTAGTTTGGTGAATTTTTTGGTGTGTGAATTATCTCATTAAAGCTCTTATATTAAAAATCTTGGGAAGATCATGTCCTAATTGTCTGGCTATTCCAGCACCTCTCCTTCCCCTGGCAACCACCACCCAAAGAGGAAGTGGATGCTGCACCATGGATGACATCAATGTGTACATCTAAGGGTTCTGCCATCCTTATTCTCTGTTCCTCTTCCCTTCTTCCTGCTTTCTTCCCCCTGCCTTGTTCTCCTATTATTTCCTATTCCTTCTATCTCCCTTCTCCTTTTTTCCTTATTTTCCTACTGATCTCACCATCCAATGGGTGCATCTCACGGGCTTTCCTTAACCCTAGGAAGCTGAAAGGGGCATGGAAGAGGGAACAAGAGAGAGTGAAATTTAACAATCACCATAATAATAAAGCGTTAATATTATTAAAAATTATTATTATAGCTGTCCAGAACTTAATTTAATCTTCACAACATTCCTATTAGGGAGATAATCATCCACATTTTATAGATTAAGACGTTTTTATGGATAAAGATGAAGAAATAACACTAACATGCTCAAGAAAACCCAGCAAATCAGAGGCAAAAACAGAATTCAAACCAGGGTCTGTCTGGCCTCAGAGCCTATTCTCCAAAGCATGATAGAACCTTAAATATGAGGCTGGGCCTGGTTATTTATTGATGAATTATAATAGAAGTAATTTGATGGGGTTCCAAACTGCAGTATCTAGGATCTCATCTGTTGGTCTGATATTTATAGCCGTTTATGGGTGATATCTGTGTGGCTCTTCCATTCATTATGGTTTTCATTAAGACTCTAATCCTGTTTAGAAGTCTGTTTGTCATTTTTAACTCTCCTGTTTAATCTTGGGCAGCCCTAATCTTTTTTCACTACCAGCCAGAGAGAGACAGCTCCTGATGGCTCTTTTCTTCTCACAGTTGTGTGCAGGTGGGGGTATGAGGGGAGATGAGTGTGGTGGGCCTGCCTGTCCATGACTGTGTGGGACATGAATGTGTGTATGGAGTATCCGTGTGAGCTGTGATGTGAGCATGTGTGAAGTTCGTGCATGGTGTCACTGTATTGGTGTGCACTGTGAGTGTGTGGTATGGATGTGTGTTTGTGTTCATGAGTGTGTGTACACGAGTATGGGTATGGGTTTGTGGAGTAATGGAGTACATATGTGTGTGTGTCAGGGGCTACCATTCATGATATTTGTATTAGTCTGTTCTCATGCTGCTATAAAGAAATGCTCGAGACTGGGTAATTTATAAAGAAAGGAGGTTTAATTGACTCACAGTTCTGCATGACTGGGGAGGCCTCAGGAAACTTACAATCATGGTGGAAGGCACCTCTTCACAGGGCAGCAGGAGAGAGAATGAGTGCCAGTAGGGGGAATGCCAGATGCTTATAAAGCCATCAGTTCTCATGAGAACTCACTCATTATCACGAGAACAGCATGAGGGAAACCACCCCCATGATTCAATTACCTCCACCTGGTCCTGCCTTTGATTACAATTCAAGGTGAGATATGGGTGGGGACACAGAGCCAAACCATATCAGTATTCTTTTTTCATAAGCACGAGAATTCTTGAGTGGAAACCTAACCATCTGCTTCTAAAACACAGAGACCATTTCGCCTCACATCTGACCTTCCCTGGTGTATAAATCCTCCTGGGGTGAGAGGGTTTTAGGGAATCCTGAAAGGGATAGCGATTGACCAGGCCCCCTCTCCTAAGGCAGTCTCGGAGCCCAGCTCTCGCTCATGGTGGACCTTACTTAGGTTTCCCCGGGGATGGAAATCTCCTTCCCAGCAGCATTGGTTTACAGAGAAATTCTTCCATTGGGCTCTTCATCCTTGAGGGAGGATTAGATTTGTTTTACTTTTTCGGTTATTAAGCGTCTACTGCTAAGGAATGAGTAACAAAGGAAATCTACATGGGTGACATCCCATATTGTGTCCTTCGCTGGCCCCAGTGCACACCCATAGCTCATTCTCTCTGCTTTGGTTTATGGCGTTTTCATGCCCAGGCCACTTTTCACCCTGCCCCTTTTCAAATCTTGCCTCCTCCTTGGAGCCTTGCCTGCTCTCAGACCCAAAGGTGATTCCCATCTCTCTGCACCCTCTGACCTCCCCTCACAGACATTATAAGAGGGCCCACAATATTTAGTACTTAAAAACATTCTGTCTCTGAGTCCACCAGGCCAGAACTCTGGGAGACCCACCAGCTATATTTCAACTCCCTACTTCCCTAGGGACTTCAAGGCTGAAATGATGGTTCAGGAAATGCACTACATAAAGGCATCTGGCTGAGGGGCAAGTAGGGGCTGAAACAAAAGTCCTCATTCATCTTACCAAGGCATGTGCCTAGATGGGGCACCTCTTTCAAATTGCACCAAAGTACCGCATTGGCAAGTGGTAGTCCTGAAAGGGAGTCTCAGAGAGTTCAATCTTCTTGTCTCAGGGCCTGTAGTAGCAGCCAGAGGAATGCTTAATGAAGAACCCGAAAAGTGCTGCCTGCCCCTCCCCATGCGTCAAAGATGAAGTCTGGCCTCACAGTCTGTCTTCAGAAAGCTTCACCCCCTCTCTGATTAATCCCACCCCACTCTAATCACCACTTAACTCCACATGCCCTTGTCTGGCTCCAGCTTAATTTTCACATCTCAGTATCTGCCTTTTAAGAGTCCTGAATCTTTTTTTCACATCTTTGTTATGCTCTTCCAACTAGTTAGCAAGCTGTAGGAGGGCAGAGAGCATGTTTTCATTTCCTTTGGTTTTGGCCACCTTTGTGACATCCATCAGAAAACTCTGCACCCAGCCGGGGCTAAATCAGTATTGTTGACACACTGAGTCACCAGCCAAAGGTGCAGAGACACCAAAGCCCTGTGCTTAGAGCTAGGAGCTGGGCCAGTGACCCCTGTCCCCAAAAGCCAGCTCAGCCAGGCGCCTCAGGGGACACAAATCCATCCACTCACCTCCCTCCGGTTCTGGACCTCATTACCCAAAGAAATGTCCCTAAGGATTAGAAAGTTCCGGAGAAGGCCAGGTGCGGTGGCTCATGCCTGTAATCCCAGCACTTTGGGAGGCTAGGCAGGTGGATCACTTGAGATCAGGAGTTCGAAACCAGCCTGGCCAACATGGTGAAACCCCATCTCTACTAAAAATACAAAAATTAAATTAGCCAGGCATGGTGGCACACACTTGTATTCCCAGCTACTTGGGAGGCTGAGGCAGGAGAATCGCTTGAACCCAGGAGGCGGAGGCTGCAGTGAGCTGAGACTGTGCCACTGCACTCTAGCCTGGGTGACAGAGCAAGACACTGTCTCAATAAAATAAAATAAGAAAGAAAAAAAGGAAGTTCCAGAGAAACTCAGCCAATCTCTTGGTCTCTTTCTGTGATGACATAAAGTGCTGGACAGGAAGAGGAAGAAGTGGCCCTAGCCCTTCACCAGACTCACCTTTCCGTATCACTTAGTGAAGGATTGATTTGATTTCTTGTGTTCAAGGGCTTTGCAGGGACTAGAGCTTCACCCCTCCCTGAAGGTGTGTTTGCTTTGGATCAGGGACAGGCCTGTTTGCGGACAGAGCATCCGGACACCTTTCGCTGGGTCTGTGATATGGTGGCTTTGTTGCTCTCCTAGACAACAATATATATGGCATGCCTGGCCAGTGGCATCAGGGAACATATCTCCTGCCACTTCTTCCTGGAGACCTCCAACCCCAAGCCCCTGGCTGACCTCCTCCACTTTCACCTTTCAGCCTCGTACTCCTGTGCCACCTCAGCACACTCTCCTGCTCTAAAAAAAAAGAAGCATTCAGGCAGTCACTAAATAGCAGTATTGATGCCCCATCCCCACATGCCCTGGAATGATAATGCATCACCCGTGGTGTGTATCCAGACGAAGCCAGATTACGCTCAGGTGGTTAAAAGTCCAGGTCTAATTAGAGTTCCAGGGAATCAAGCCATTGTATTATTAATGATTCTCCGGCAATGTTCTGATTAAAACAGTAATTTTAATAAGCACAGCTCGATGCTAAGTGTTCAGTGAGCACCTAATTACATCAGTTATGACTCCAAAATTATTTAAAATTCCGCTTTTTTTCCACCGGACCCGGCATGCACCAAATAAAATAGAGACTCAGACAACTTGGTGATTATTTGCTCTAATTAATATCCTAAGCACCTCTTTTAAAAAAAAAAGAAAAAAAATGTATCTTTGTCTCTCTTCTATCTCCCCCAGGTTCCCCTCTCTGTGACCCCCAGAAGCTCGATGACATTGGTTACATTTGAGGCAGCCATTCAGGGAGGTCAGGAATAGAAAGCTGTGAGGAAGGTAGATTTGAACAGTCCCCACACTAACCTCCAGGTGAGGGGAGGCTGCAAAGTGCTAATCCCCGTTGATTGCCCAGGCAGGACAAGACCCCGGGGTGGGGGAGGCAGAAGCACCCAGAGAGGGCTACTAACCTGGAGCCAGTTCCTGACTGCAGCCTTATCTTCAGCAGACCAGCTTCAGTTGTCACATTTAACCATCACGCTTGCATCTCCTGGAAGAGGGTGGCCAGTGGGTCAAGGGGCTTCCCTGTGTGGCTGTTCTCAAATTCTTCTGGCCACTTTCGTTGCAAAAGAGACTGCCTGACCTATTCACTCCCTGGAAGGACACCAGGATTTCAGGAAAAATGGTCTGCTGAACCATCTGAGGATTGGTGTCCACAGTTTTCTTTTTTTAAACAATTTTATCAGTAAGTTATCCATCTGTATGCAATAAGCCTGATAGTGAACAATGCGGTGCTGAAGCTCTCACTTCTTGTGAACCTCATGACAATATGCTAGTGAGGAACAGCAGTCCTTAACATCATCGTGCCCAACCCACGTGCTGGGAGATACCATCACAAGGCAGCTTTCTGCTGTCTCCTACTGTCTCTTCAAGATGTTTATCATGAGTAAAGTTTTGCCTGGATCTCAGGCAGGTGGCATAGCTTCTCTGCACACTTGTAGATAATGAAAGGCCTTTCGTCACTCCAGTCTCAAACACAGCCTCAAATTGGAATGATAATGTCCAGTTCCAGACCAGACTTAACCTATGGACTGATGTGCAGATTTTTTTCCTCCCCTTGCCTGAGCCTGCTGCATGGTCTCCAGTTACTTCTGTCTCTCTCTTTCTCATTTGCTTTCCCCCAAATGGATCCACTTTGTAGAAAGGAGAGGGGTCAGAGGAGTTCTTTCTCACATGAACTGGAATTGGCAGCAGATAGCCTCTGTTCTCAGGCCTGGTGGATATTTCTGACTCTTACAGGGCTGGGTTCTTCCTGGGCCTCGAAACTCCCCTGCTGAACCATTCCATGGCTGCAGCTGTCATCAAGAGGGTGGTGCTTCCTCTTGACTGGACACTGTCCTCTTGGCCGTGATTTTCCAGTTCTCTCCATACAGATGTCCGCAGTGGGGTCACAGCACCACCTCCAGGGGGTCTTTTGGACAGGTTGTAAAATGCTTCAGGCCAGCCCTCCCTCCTAAGGTGTCCACATCTGCTGCAAGGGAAGTACTTGCCCATCTTTTTAGCCTGCCACCATTGTGCAGCTGGGGTGGGAGCGGTGACCTCCCAAGTTCCTGCTTCGCTCTGCCTCCTGCGGGCTCGCCAGCCTACCCTCTGGGTTTCCTCCTGCATCCTCCTATCCACTTCCAGGTGGTCCTGTTGAAGGGTGGTTAGGTTTCAGCCTTCCAAGCCCTCCCTCCAATAATTCACACAGTCTCTTCTTTTTCATTCCTTCAACTCTTTTTTTTATGTGAGACAGAGTCTTGCTCTGTCATCCAGGCTGGAGTGCAGTGGTGTGATCCCGGCTCACTGCAACCTCCACCTCCCAGGTTCAAGCTATTCTCCTGCCTCAGCCTCCTGAGTAGCTGGGACCACAGGCATGCACCACCACACCCGGCTAATTTTTGTATTTTTGTAGACACGGGGTTTCACCATGTTGGCCAGGCTGGTCTCAAACTCCTGAACTCAAATGATCCTGCCCAGCTTGGCCTCCCAAAGTTCTGGGATTACAGGCATAAGCACCTTGCCTGGCCCCTTTAATCCTTTCATTCCATTCATCTGGGTCAGGGGATCCAGGGTCAGGGGCAGAAGAATCATGAACCTGAATCTTGAGAATCTACTCTGAAAAATTGTATGGCAGTCTGCACTTTACCTTAGAACACAGCATTATTGTATCATGGTGCCTTCGTGGATGCCTTAATTTTAACATCCAATAATATTTAACAAATGTGAAAACTGAGGCCCAGGGAGGTTAAGGGACTTGCCCGGTACAGTTGAGTATGTGGTGAGGCTGAGCTACGTTCTTCTGACCCTAACAGCTATGTCCTTTCCGTGACACCAAAAGCCTCTGCTGTGTTGTAAACATTGACTATTAAAAAATTTTAAAAGCCCTCAAGTCACCGAATGGATACTCGCAGAATACCAGGGGGCCTCAGCCACACCTAGAGAACTTTAGCATAGTGCATTTGATTAAAGAGCTTAAAATAAAACCTGGATCATTGGGCAAGTATAATTAGCTTCTCAGCAGGTATTTATAGACCTATTTCGTACAAGAAACTGAAGTGGGAGCATACAGAGATGTCTCATAAGAAGAAATAAAAAGAAGAGCCCTATAAGTAATCTAAAAAGTTACCTACCTAAGAAGAGTATAAAAAGTGCATTAGACTCATGCCAATTGGGCAGGCAGTCAGATTCTCAGTTCAGAGAGAGAAGTAACAAAGGTTGATCAAGGAAGACTTCCTGGAGGAGGGAGGGCCCAGGGATTTGCACATGAGCGGGAGAGGGGAGGATGTTTGGATTAGCAGGAATGTATGAGCAAAGGCATGGAGGCAGGACTACACAAAGCAAGAGAGGAGGCCAGCCTGGCAGGAGTGCAGTTGACATTGACCAAAGGGGTCAGGAGTGGAAACGTCAGCCTGGGTGAGGAGCAGAATTTAGAAGTCTGAAATGTCACACTGAGGTGTTTGGACTATAAACTTCCTGAGATAGGCAGAGTTTTCTTGTTGTTTTATATTTTATTTTTATTGTTGTGTTTCTTTAGCTGAAAGAAACTGTGTTTTGTATTATTGGTACAAAACACTGACTCTTGAAAGCCTTCCCTGATTTGTACTTCCCTTTTGCTCCTATAGCTTTTACCATGTCTCAATCATATTGCTAATATTTCATTATAGTTTGGGAGGTGTGTCTGTCTTCCTGACAACACTATGAGTACTTTGGGATCAAGGTTGTATCTGTGCATTCTGTGAACTTAATGTCTACACAGACTGTATTGTAGGTGTTTAATACATATTTATTAATAATAACTATCAGCTATCAGCAAGGTACAGGGCTTAGCATTTTCTAACCCATGCCATCCTTCATGTCTAAGAGGCGGTATGGTGTAAAAGTTGAGAACATGGGCTCTGTAGCCAGCCTGCCTGAGTGCGAGTCCCAGCTGTATAACTTACTGAATACATGACTTTAAACAACTTCACTGAGACTCTCTGTTCCTCAGTTTCTTCTTCAGCTGCAGATAACTTTTATACAACTTATATATATAGCAGTCTGGTGGATGAATGGATGGATGAATGGATGAACTCAGCGGATAGACTAATGATTGAGTAAATGAATGAATAAACAAGCAAATGCACAAAGTATATGTGCCCGGTGTATTTCTACCACATTCAGGTTGACTTGGTGATAAATCAAATATATCAGAATGCAGATTCACAAGGTCACGCCAATCAACCCACACTGACTAACCCCTGGGTACAAAGCACTGAGGCCATGTGGTCATTGCTGCCTCCATGGAATGGTCTTGATCCAACTGACCAGTCTATAAAGGTTCCCAAACCAACACAGAGGCACTGGATCCAGCAAAGCCTAGGAGCTTTCCTGCCTCATATCACCACCTTGCCAGAGTTGAATGAATGAATGGCAGGAATGAATAAATGAGCTCTATACCAAAAGGAAATTAAAATGTTCCAATGTAAGTATAGGAGACTCTTGTTTCCCCTTAGGCAGAGATTTAATACATATTCTTATCCTCCATCTCCCTCCCGCTCCCTCTATCCTTCCTTCCCTCTCTCGCTCTCTCTCTCTTTCACACACATACACACACACTCATCTACTCACTCACTGCCTTCTAGGAAGCTGTGATGGACAAGACAATTCTCTATAGTTCTGCCCAAGGGAACCAGTCACTCAGCATACCAAGAAAAGTCAGAGAGAATACTATCGGGGGGTCTGATGTGTCAGAGAGGACAAGATGCCCAAGTTTTGGATGGTTAGAAAGGAAAGCTGCGAGATAGTGGAGAAGATGCATTCCATGGTGTTTGCTGAAAACCAAAATTCTGTTTTACAGCATGAGGTTCCTGTGGCTTCTTACCTACTCAGAGTCATACAACAGTTTAGGCAGAGAGGTAGAGTCTGGTCTCAGATCCGGCACCTATGGATAATGCTGAGCTAGCTCCCTGCTTCCTTGTGTACATAGCTGTTGACCTGGTGCAGTGAAGAAGGCCTTGGGCAGTCAGGCTTTGCCAAATCTGATTCTGTGTCATACCATTTGATGACACTGTCCTCCTTATGTAAAGACGACCTGGGAACATCAACGTGGGGTCCCTTCATAACTGGGGAAACAGATTCTAAGGGAAGTATCAAGGATGGAAGATTAGAAAACAAGGAATCCCTAAGAACCCACACGTATTATCAATAACCACAAATGCCAACAGCAGAGCAGGAAGTGTTGCTGGGGACCAAGAGGCAAAAACTAGAGCTCTGTTGGGAGGCAGTGCCAGGGACTTTGCCAGAGGGAGCTAATTTTTATAGTATCTTTCAGGAGCAGTGATGTCCTAAAGGCCCCACTTTCCCTATTATAAAAGTATTCTCCCAAACATAAATTCTGAATCCTCATCTCAGACAACACTAAAGGTGGCTTCAACCTTCTATTCAACAACAGCAAAGATGCTCTTACCCGAGCTGTCTGACCAGCTTCTTCTTGGGCTCCTTCCCCTGATGATTTCCACTCCAAACCTCACCTTCTATGCTTAAAAAGGCCATAAGCACTTTACATTAAAAAAGGCCATTTGGGGCTGGGCACAGTGGCTCACACCTGTAATTCCAACACTTTGAGTTGCTCTGGCGGGCAGATCACTTGAGCCCAGGGGTTCAAGACCGGCCTGAGCCACATGGCAAGACCCCATCACTATAAAAAATTTAAACAATTAGCCAGGCATGGTGGCACATGACATGCCTCTAGTCTCAGCTACTCAGGAGGCTGAGGTGGGAGGATTGCATGAATCCGGGAGCCTGAGGCTTCAGTGAGCCAAGATCATACCACTGCACTCCAGGCTGGGCAACAGAGCAAGACCGCATCTCAAAAAAAAAAAAAAAAAAAAAGAGAGAGAGAGCATTTGGGATTAACTGGAATTCCAAACCCTTCTTTCATGCTCTCTTGGAGACTGGAAGGCAAGGGAAGTAGAAATCAAAAGGGCAGGGCCCTGAGATGGGGTCCTGTTAGGCAGATGCCCAGTTCTTGGAAGAAGTCAAGCTCTGTGGTAAGGCTAGACTCAGGCTCTGTGTGTCCTGGGGCCTCACTGGAACCATGTCTGGGCAAACAACCATTGTGGAATGAATGAGTAGGAATGAGTAGGTAGGGGGCATCCCTGCCTTATCACCCCACCCCATGCCATCATCACCTTTCCCCCTCCTGGGGTAGGGCAGTCAATGTGGACCCTATAAGGAGCTTTGTAGGACCTGGCTAATCCCAGGCATCTGGTCCCCAGATGAGAGGTCTGTTTTAGTTATTTCTTAGGCCCTAGTTCCCAAAGCCTCCTCATCCCCCATT
This sequence comes from Homo sapiens, assembly GCF_000001405.40. NCBI lineage: Eukaryota > Metazoa > Chordata > Mammalia > Primates > Hominidae > Homo > Homo sapiens. The sequence goes on along the minus strand of NC_000001.11, from coordinate 208,113,098 downwards.
TCCTATCCCAGCTGCTTTTTCTAACTGAATAAATCCACTGTTGTCATGGAGACAACACAGTATCAGCATCTCTGTTTTTTTTTTTTTTTTTTTGTAGGTCCTTCCAAAAACCAGAACTTCCTAGAAAGGGTCCTACTTCTACCTCCCTAGTATTTCTGGCATGGGAGTCTTCTCTGATAAAATATGGTTTGATGTTTGGAGTATCTGCCTTGCCCATAAGATTTCCTACCCTCTTTGTAGTTTTACCTTGCCCAAGTTTTACCTCTATCCTTAGCACGCTGAGCTTAATTTGACTTCTTTCAGCCAAGGATCCTGAGTTTCAGCACACTTCCAACACTGGGATTATTTAATAAAGACGGCAGTTACAGGGGCTGGATGGCTCTTCATGCAAAAGGGCAGACATAATTCTCCCCATGTCATAGATAAACAATCGTAGCTCCAAGAGGCCGGGTGGCTTCAGCAAGGTCACCCATCATAGAAGAGCAAAGCCAGGGCCCTCTGCAGCTTTTCCATGCTAGCACTGCCACCTTCAGTGGGGTCTGCATCTAGACACTGAGCATGGTAACTACCACTATTGAGCACCAGCTGTGTGCAAGTCAGTATGTACAGACATCACGTAAGCCTCAGAACAACCTTGTGAAATGGATATCAATGTCACCATTTTACAGAGAAGGAAACTAAAGCTCAAGAAAGTCCAGCATCTTACTTAGTGTCATACAGCTGATAAGCACAGAAGCTGGATTGGAAACTGAGGGCTGTCCCCTTCAAAGTGCAAAACCAGTACAAAATATGGCCTCTACCTGAAAACAGGTTTCAGGAGCAGTCACTGCCCCAGCACTCATCCAAGGGTTGAATTCCACTGTATGGGGCCAGAAGTTTCTTTTCATATTGTCCTCTCCCCTTTGACTCCTGCAGGACCTCTGCTGAGTTTTTATGAATGAGGAGGAAAAAAAATGTCATTGAAAAGTTCAACCAACTTTGGTCTCCTCTCTCTGAGTGATAGATAGGTTTAATTACTCTGAATTACTCAACCACTCTACTCTTCTCCCCCAAGTCATTAAAAATAGATTTTCTCTTTGAACTGCACTCCGCCCTCAGGTCTCCAGATAGTCAGGAGTTCTTAGGAGACAGCACCGGGGTCAGCTTCTGGTCAGAAGGTTGTGCATTGCTTTAGTTGCAATCACAGTCTCCGGAACCTCCAGCTGTTTTTCTGGGGTTTTTGTGCCTCTTTTTCCTTAATGGTGTTGATCACGTGACTTTCACAGCCCAGAGGACAGGCAGGAGGCTGGGTTGGTATTTACTTTATGAGAATTTAAGGGGATCTGAATGCATGACTATTGATTGTTAAAGAAATGGATCTAACACTGAGAACAAACAATAATGAGTTCTTCACATTAATTACTGTGAAGCTGATTCATAGGAAAAACCTAAGCTGAAAGTGTGGGCTCAGAGGTGTTCTGCTTCCTGATGAGCCCCAGAGATAGGTGGGACAGATATTGTCTTTATCTCAAAATAAGGAGATGAGGGCTTGAGGCATAACCGGAGTGCCCATGGCGACACAGCTGATCACTGGCAAGACCGGGACAGAAAACTTCTGCTGCGGCCACTACCCAAGCTGTGCTAACAGAGGGCTTGGTGACATTTTGTAGGAAGCTCAGATGGAAAACGTGGAGCCTGCTCACAGCCTCTTCCATTATCGTTCTGGTCCTAGTAAGCTTAAAAACAGAAGTCCAGCCAGGTGCAAAGGCTCACACCTGTAATCCCAACATTTTAGGAGCCAGAGGTAGGAGAGCCCTTGAGCCCAGGAGTTTTTGACTAGCCTGGGAAACATAGGGAGATTCTGTCTCTCCAAAAAAAATAAATTAAATTAAATTAAATTAATTAGCCAGGTGTGGTGGCACACACCTGTAGTCCAGCTACTCAGGAGGGCTGAGGCAAGAGAATCCGTTGAGCCCGGGAGGTAGAGACTGCAGTGAGCTGTGATTGCACCACTGTACTCCTGCCTGGGTGACAGAACAAGACTGTCGTTTAAAAAAAAATCCCTTAGGGAATCTTTCACCCTTCCCAATCTATGTCCCTCTTCACCTTCTGGTATCACCTCTCTTGCTGTCTGGCTCCTGATTCACCCAGCTGAATCACTGTTAGAAAACAGAGGGGAGTAAAATGAGCTAAGAGATTTGCAGTGGTCAGGCGGGTGAACCTGACCTGCAGTGTCCAGCAGCTTGACTAGGAAGCAGAAAGATGTTCTTTCTAGGAAGAAGAATGGCCCCGGTGGCCGCTTTTGGGGCAGCTCCAGGAGAAGGGGCCTTCCCTCTGCAGTCCTTGCCTCTGTCTGTCTGGACCCCGCTGCATCTGTGTGGGAATTAAACAAACTTAGACACCAATTTTGTTTCTGTTACCCTACAAAGGATATGACCTTACCTGCGTTACTTAAGCTGACACTCAGTTTTCTAATAGGTAAAATGGGACTAAGAATACCTCCCTGGAAAGGTTGGTGTAAGGATTAAATGAGGTAATCTATGTGACGTGCCTGGCATGCGGTAAATACTGGATACATGCAGCTGTTGTTATTATTGTTCCTGCTGCTTCAATCCATTCAACAAGCTCGGTCCACTGCCCAGCTCAGGGCAAGGTGGGGCCAGCCAGGAGCCTGCCAGCTGTCAGGAGACCTCAGTGCCCATCACTTCCCCCAGAACCTTAGGCAGCAGATCCAAAGGGACATGATTTCCTTGCTGCCTCCCTCACCTGCTCCCAGCAGGGGAGATTGAGATTAAGGTGTTGCTTCAGGCATCCAGTAGACATCAGCTCTTTCCTGCTGAAGGACAGAAAGTGGTGTGGGAATTTTTCTTTGGAGACTTGCTGAGCCAAAGGGGATGGAGTAAGAGGCATGTCAGGAGGGAGGGGGCCTGGACTTTCCCCAGAGGGTCTACCTTGGCTTCTCTGCCTGAGAGAATAAGGCCAGGGTCAGGGGCAGGACTGGGCCTCCCCAAACATTGGCCCACATTTCTCTCCCTGTGAGGACTCTGAATGAGTGTCAAGGGAAGCATAGTACACTAGGCTGCCAGGCAGAAAATCTACAGAAAATCAACATCTCCATGTTAATTGCACCCATTTACAGAAGGGCTTACAAGATTTGGTGCAAGCCTGTGAAGAAGAAAAACTCCACCCACCCATTTATTCCATCAGTTAACAGCTACTGGGTACTAGGAGCTGTAGGGTGCAGAGAAGCAGAAGCCTCACCTGCCTTCAGGTTGCTTCAAGCCTCCTGATCCCCGCTCTGCTCTTGCCTCGGATCTCGCAGTGGACTCCTGGGCCACCTTCTCCCTCCTCATCCTTCAGAAAGAGCCCTTGCAGTATATCTGAGAAGAGCGAACAGTCAGTCCCATCATGGGCCGTGGAGGATTCTCCTCCAGTTGGCCACTTTGCCACTCACTGCAAGTGAGGACTTAAGCGCTCTTTGGGGGCCTTAATTTCTCAGTAGATCCAGTGAAAATCATAACACATAACAATACCTGTCCTCTCTTCCTCTCTGGGGAGTTGTGCAGATCAAATGAGATAATGTGTGTGAAAGCATTTCAAAAATGCCAAAACCCTCTGCCAGGATTGCTGTGACTGCGTTATTGATCTCTGTCCATACAGCAGCCCCAGCAGGGGTCTCTCTTCAATCCACCATCAGCTGTGTGTGTAAATGAGTGTCAGATCTTTTCTTGAAAACAGGTTTGGATTGGGGGAAAGAGAAGAAAGTGGCTCTGAGACCCTATAAACCTGAAGGGGTGAAGGGGTGGGCCTGCAGGGAGGGACCACCAAGAGAAGGTAAAAAGGAAAGGAGAGAGGCCCAGGGAGCCAGCTCCATCAGCTTCAGCTGCTGTGTGCTCTGCCCTGAGCCCTGAGGACCAGGAGGCTGTTGATGAGGCCAACTGGTGCTCCATTCGGGCATCTGTGCCACCTCCCACCCCTGCCACCTGGCTCCCAGCCACTGAGAAGGCCTCTGTTTCTTCCCTTGTGTCAGGAGCAGGGGACACGTGTGAGGACAGGTGTACCATCTGGCAGGGCAGATTCCAGGGAAGATTCCAGGGAAGATTCCAGGGAAGAAAGAGATTAAATTCTCAATCTTGGAGGGGCCCACCAGCCTGGGGAACAATTTTCCCTTGTTCCTTTCATCCCTCTGTGTCTCTCTTGCATGATTGCAAAGAAATCTTGCAGATCGCTTGAACACTGAGTGCTCCTGCCAGAGCCCCCTGAGGTGAGCTGCCACTCTCTGTCCTCTGAGCCACGACGGTCCTGGTTCTACTTCTATTGTGGCATCTGTCCTACCATATTGAGATTATCTATTTCCTTGGTTTTGTTCTCAACTGAACCATGGGCTCCAGGAGGGAAGAGAATGTAGCCCTGATGCCTAACAGAGGGTTGAGTACAATGTAAGTGCTCAGTAGATGTTTAAGGACTAAATGGGCCTCCGGCATGATCCACTGTCAGAATCATGTGAGGTTTTCTGCTTTCACCTCAGGCGTTTCTCCAGAAGAGCCATAGAAGAGCTCAGAACCATGTGGGTCCTTCCAGGTGTCCATATAGGGTGGCAGAGATGCAGTGTTGATTCTCTGTCCCCAGGCTCACTTGGCAAAGGGCGCTTGTTCTTATGCCTACCATTGGGAAACTCTTCTGTGGAAAGGGTGATGTGTCTGCTCCTGATGGGAGTAACTGCCCAGGGGCTCTGTCCAGGATGACTCACTCTTAGGGCCTCTGAGGCTTTCCTGGCCTTACCTTGGATGGTCCAAACACTACAGGTGTGCCATGCTTTTCAAGACCTTCAGGAAAGAGGCTGGGTCCAGTGGCTTCCCTCAGTGACTTGTCCCCACTGCCTCTAATAATTATCTGATAATGTGTCTGGCTATACTGGGCCTGACACTCTGTGGGCTACTCGTGTGCTGAATTGAGAGAGTTGGTCAGGGAAGGAAAACTGCCCCACACTCTGCACTCCCTGCCAAGTCCCTCCCACATGTATCTTCAGCCCCGCTGAATCAGGCCAAGGAAGGCACCAGAGACGCGGGGCCCCGGGGCCAGGAGAGCCAAGAACACAGTGTGAGTCACCTTTAAATAAGAGTATTTCTTAAGTAAATGACTTAACAGGACAGTTATATTCATTAAAGGTGTAATTACAAGCCATAAGATCAAGCAGAAAAGAATGTCAAGCATGAGGGTGGAATCCAGTTTGAAGCAGCACTGCGGGTCCTGGGGAGAAGGCCATAGGGGGCAGGAGAAGGGCCTCCCATTGTATAATTCCCATTGCCACACTCACCTGCCAGCCCAGCCACCCCCAGATCCCAGCACTCAGAGTGGAGGGGGCCAAGGAGCCTCAGGCATAATTAAAATGCAATAATAGTAAACAAATGCTAATTAAAGTGTCATAGAGTGTCCCGTTAAACTCTGAGTCAGCCCTGACAGAGGGCGCCCGACGCGGTGGACACTCTCCAGGAGAAAGCTCCCTTTCCTTCTTGAGTTTCTGAAGACATCTCCCTCCCCACCCGACCCAGCCCTAGAACAAGTGCTGGGCTGTCACCTGGGGTACAAAGTGAAGTGGCTCCTGACTGCGGAGGCTTGAACTTGGTCCTTTATGGACTTCATAGATGCAGAATGATTAGAACCAATTTCTCACTGGGCATAAAGTAGTCCCCAGAGCACTGTTGCCTTCCCCTACACCCCTAAAATCCCTCTAATTCCTTCCATAGCACCAAGGAAGAGTGATATTCTGTTTCTTCCTGGCCCCAGGACCTAACATTTAAAAAGACCCACTCGGAGAGCTGGAGTCATCTATATCAGTGGTTGGCCTGCGTAAGAATCGGTTGGAGAGTTGTTAAGACCCATTTCCTGGACCTCTTCCCCAGTGTTTCTGATTTAGTGCACCCTGGATTTTCATGTTCAGTAATCTCACACGTGACACCAATGGTGCTGGTTTGAGAACCATACACTGAGGGCCATTGCTCCTTGAGGGCCCCAGACCTGCCTCATGGAGGACATTGTTTTGGCCAAGGCTAGAAGGCTTGGAGGCATCACATATTCCAGCTCTGTGGTCTTTGCAGTTCTTCCCATGGTCACCCAGACTCACATATCCAGACTTGCACCATCCCTCCCTTGCCCTCACCAAAGGTGTTTGAAGAAACCCTGCTTTCCAGTGTCTGCTTATATGGTTCTTTCCACCTGGAATGCTCTTCATCTGTCTAAATATTCTTCACCTTTTAAGGCCCGGACACATACTGTGTATACTCCGTTTAGGGCAGCACTGTCAGATAGAAATAAAATATGAGCCACAAGCATGAACTACATGTGTAATTTTAACTTTTCTAGTAGCCACATTTCAAAAAGGAAGAAGAACAGGTGAAATTAATAATACATTTAATTCAAGATAAGCAAAATATCTCTTCAACATGTCAATAAAAATTATTGATGTAATTTTTTCCCTTTTTTCTTTTCCTCTCTAAATCTTCCAAATCCAGTGTGTATTGTAGACTTACAGTACATCTTAATTTGTCCTAGCTACATTTCAAACTCAATAGCCGCATGAAGCTAGTGGCTATTGTACTGGGCAGCACAGATGCAGGCAGTGTTTTCTCGTTGCTCTGAATTCCCTCAGCCCTCTTTGAATACTTGTCTTAGAACACGTATCGCTTTCTTCTTTTTATTGCTAGCCTGTTCGCAACTTGAAGGTGCTAGTTGTGTTTTAATGCTGTCGTTGTTTTTATTCTGAAGTGCCTAGCACTGGCCTGGATGGAGGACACAATCAATGAATATTGACTGACAAATGAATATAGAAGCACATGAATATAAGAGACAGAGGAGGCTCCTGGGAACATCTGACTTTGAGGGTCTCCACCCGGTCACTGTGACATTTCTTTCCTCTGGTTTGTGTGTGGCTGTTACATCTTAGAGGACAGAATAATTCAAGTTTTAGACCACCCCCCCTCCACCCCTGCCAACTTACAAGTTTCCTGTTTCACTTTGCTCTTCAACTCAGTGCATTAAAAAAAAAAAAAATCACCAGGAGGGCCCAGGAAACAGGAAAAATAGTTGTGCTATTGGTTTCATGTTTGGAGAAGAACAGGGTTTCACTATCTCCGTGGCACTTGGCGTGAAAGTGGGCTTTGTTGCTGGAGACACTGCTCCCATTCAGGGCCCCTTTTCCCAGCTGCTGAGGGCTGGGCTGTGTTTTGACAGACGGGCCGAATGCAATGCAGACAGTTGTTTTAATTTGCAGCCAGATGCAGACATCCCTCACAAGGAGCCCGAAACCCAAGAAAAGGAGGCTAGGCACTGGACCACCATTCTCAGGCCTCAGAGAGTGGTTTGGAGGGGGCCAGCGGAAGCCTCCCAGGCAGCCAGGGTCTCTGTTATCCCAGAGGGCTGATAGTCACCAGGCCTGGGAGACGTACACTAGAAGGTCTCCGGCAGATACCTGTCTGAAAGGTGTTTCTTGTAGGCATCGTGGGCCATGAGGCAGGGTTCAAGGGTTATTCTTTAAGGCGGTGTGAATTGGTGGTGGTGGTGGTGGCTGCATGTTATCTTTTAACTGTAGAGTTGTACAGGACAAAAATCATCAACAGTCTCAAGGAGGAGTTAGGGAAACTGTGGGAAATAGAAGGCTGGAATGTCAGAATTGGCAGGGACTAATGTAGCCTTCCTCTGAGGGCAGAAATCCTTTCTTCCAGCCTTTGGGACGAATGTCACCTTGACTGCTTATGCATCCCTGTGATAGGCGTTCCTTTGGAAAGCCAGGCGGTTGCATGATGTTGAGCTTTTCTGAGCTTTTCACCCATGAGTCCCACTGCAGCCATACTGCTCCCCTTCGAACACTGGAAAACAGCCTGCATGACTACTTTGAGACTCTTCATTGGACTAAATAAACATCCCAGGTTCATCTGCTGCATCCCACCCCATCCTGGCCACCCTCCAGGAAGGATCTCTGGTTGAGCAACGCCTCTCCTAGGGCAGGCTGCGGAGACCTGAACTCCGGACTCCACAGTGGGGGGTGGCTTCTCTCGACCCTGATGCTGTGTGTCTATTTATGCAGCCCATGGTCAGATTAGCTTCTTTCGTTATCACCTCACCCTATCAGGTCACATCAGATTTTGAGTTGAGTTGACTTTGAGTCAACTCAAACCCTTAGGTCTATCACACTTGAACTATTTCAAATCAGCTATCCCCCGTCTTAAACTTATAGTACCAGTCTTTTTTAAAGCTAAATTGCAAGATTTTACACTCATCTCCCTGCATTTCATGTTTTTATTATTAAAGGGAGGTGAGGGATGTTTAAAGCTGATCATGTCACTGACTTACAGAAAAGCCTCATATATGCAATGTTAAGTGTGATGATGTAGGAAGGATGGGTGGGGACACCCAAGAGAGGAAAGGCAGGCTCATCTCTCTCCCCTCCCACCCACTGTACACCCTACACTTAAGTTTATACTGAACTTATCCATGATCGCTTTCGCTCATCACAATCCTTCAGATTGGCATGTCTTTCCAGGTCTCTGCATCTGACCCCCTCTTACCCTTCAAGGCACCCCTACACCACTGGTCACCTCTTCGCTAAGTTCCCCAAACCTTCAGCACTCACAGCAATCCCACACAACAAAAACTCAGCACAATGTAGAGCAAGTCTCGGTTTGTCATTACCAACTCCCACTGGACCGTAGGGTTCTGGGAGGGCAGAATCTGTGTGCTGTTCGCTGTCGTTTCTCTGTTGCATAGCACCAGAGCTCCACAGCGTTGACATCTGATAAACATTTGCTGAGTGAACAGTGTTAGGATCCATCCTGAACCTCTCAGGAGGATGCCGTGGAGATGTCTCCGTCATATCTTTTGTCCCCCTGCCAGAGGCAGAACACTGTGCTACTGGACCACAGGTTATGTTTTTACTTTTTACACATCTGGTAGGTGGGGGACCTCTATGCCCTAACAAATAAGAACCCATTCCCAGCACAGCAAATGTTTTTGCAGCCCAGCAGCCTCCTGCCCCAGCCAGCAACAGATACCTAGGACATATCAACTGGAACACTTCAGTCCTCTGGCCCCCTTGCCTGGTCTTTATTTTCACCCCTGCTGTGCAAGTAGGGGTGAGTAATATCCAGACAGGCCCAGCTCAAGCCCCTGCAGGGCCCCAGCAGAAGACCAGGAGGAGTGTGCAAGGGCTACACTCTCTGGGGGGCAGGGTCTTGATCTACAAATTCCCACTTTCCAGGCAAGACTGAATCAGGCAGCTCTTTTCTGTGGATGTTCCCATTTAGCCAGACTTTTCAAAGGATGGGAGATTTACTAGAGAAACTGAATGCAGACATCAGAGAATGGGATAATTGGATCCAGGTGGTATATTTGGTTGGCTGTAAAGAGTCTGTACCATACTATGAATATTATTTGATGGGAAAAGTTTCTCCTTTCCCTTTTTGAATGTTTTCTGTGTAGGCAGGATGTCTCAGCCCAAGCCCAGCTGAAAGCTCTTCAGAGATGAGTTTGTGCCACTCAATAGCCTTTCAACAGAGTTAACCATTTTCAGTACTTGCCACTGGCTTGCCCAGCTCTCGGGAGGATGCTAGTGGAGGGCAGAAATAGATGGAGCCTTTGCTGCTACCTCTCGCGAAGGCAAGAAGTCTTAGGGCTGCCACTCAGAGACACACTCGGCTTAGCCTACCTGCCTTATGCAGGTAAAGAGATTGGGGACATTGAGGCCATGACTTGCCGCCCAGTATCACCTCTTTAGGGGAGTTGACAGTGCAAGTGTGAGTACACACAGGACTGTGTGACACACACCTGCTAGTCGTCACAGCCTAACCTCACTGTACCCTCTTTGCTCTCTCTGCCAGGTCACCAGGGTCCCCGTGGAGTCATGTGAGCAGTATACGACTTGTGGGGAGTGCCTGAGCTCTGGGGACCCTCACTGTGGCTGGTGTGCCCTGCACAACATGTAAGTTTGGGGTATACTGGAAAAGGGTTTGGCATGCAGAAGACCGGGGCTTTCCGGGAATGATGGGATATGACAGTACTTTGCAGAGAGAGGAATTGTCCTCTTCAGAGCAGTAATTCTAATCGTGGCTTCAGTGTTGAGAGCAGGAAGAGGCAAAGAGGCCATGGGTGGGCCTTCTTTCTAAGTGCAGGGTCTTTGCCTCTCTTCTTCCATTTTACTTCCAAATTCAGCCCTTCAGCTGCTCTGAAGTGAGGTGCTTATATCCTTGTGTCTTTGAAAGAACTCACAAGGGATACTGTAGTCTTTAGGTTTCCCCAAAACTTCTTCAGTGTAGCCTGAAATGGGTGCCCCTCTGTGCCAAGAGTGTGCAGATGGTGGTGCACTGGCATTGGGAGGTTTAGACTCCAGCTAGCTGCTGTGTGACCCTGGATGGGTCCCCTGACAACTCCAGGCCTCTGTTTCTCCATTGCTGTTTAGGGAAAATGCCTATTTCACAGGTGAATTGTGAAGACTGAATGAAATAATAAATGCTTTGGTAATAAGGAAGCCCAGAAAAGGCTACACAAATCAGAATAATTATCATGGACCCTATACCCTTGGGAGGACCCTTCTGGTCTCATTATTTTATGATTCTAAGAAGTTCACATCTCACTTCAACTGGCCTCATGATCTGCCGTTGAATACCAACTCAATATAAATGCTAAATCACACTTAAACTTCCTAATTTGAAGAGCCCCAGGGGAAGAGAAAGGGTGAAAACCCCGAAAGACAGGAGCTGGCTAGGAATTCTGTTGCCCAATGGAGTTGGAAACTCCAGGGCTCCATGCCAGCTAGCAAAGCATCTCCATGAAATGAGCTGGGTTTGGGGTGGAGGCGGAGGCGGAGGGCCAGAGTTCAGGGTCCTGCACAATAGCTCTTGGCTTCCAGCCTCTGCGGCAGGTGTTGGGAGGGCTCTGGAGGGAGGGAGGGAAGCTGGTGCCTCACAGATGCAAAATCTGGACTGGATTTGAGCCCGTGAATACTGGGTTCCCTGCTTGGGTTTTGGAGGTAAAAGACTGCTCAGAAAGTTTTGCAGAAATGCTCTTAGCAGACCTGGACAGTGTGTCTCCATTTAGGTCAGACAAGTGGTAAAGATGCTAATGTTGTGCCCCAGAATGGCAAAAGGGGGTAAATCTTGGTTCCCTGCAGTGAGGCTGACCCACCAGCCAGCAGGCAGGGTCTTTCCTCGAGAGAATTTCTTTCTCCAAAGAACCTGACAGCCTGCTGCCAGCTCTGTGCAAAGGGCCCTGGGCAGCCTGCCCTCTAGCTCTGCAGTGGTCATGTCCAGCGGTACCTCCTACTCCCCATGCCTCCGCCACTCTGTCCTCCCAGCTTCAGTGCCTGTGGCACTTCTCCCATGTCGAACACACCAAAATTATAGATCGGGGATTATCATTTATTCAACAGCAAGGACGTCTGTTTTCCCCATCTTGAACAAGTGCCTATAGATCTATCAGCAATGCCTGGGCCTCCCCGCTGCCGCAAACCACCTGGTCTTCCTCCTGGTGCAGGTCAGCCGTGACTGCTGGAATTAGCCACATCAGAATAGTCCCAGGTTTCCTCTGTCCCCTTAACTCCTTAACTCTTTAGAGAATCCTCCCTACCTACCAGGACACTCATCTCCCAGCTTCTCCGCCCCAAGAGCTCGCGGAGAACAAGATTTTTGCTGTTTATACCCAGAGGTTTCTCTGCATCTGGTCATTCTCTTCTTCACCAGACCCTCCTGCAGTGCTCTCCCACCTGCCAAGCAGCAGCCTGGTATCAGGCGTGAGGAGATGGGGGAAGCTGCAGCTCCCGGGTCCCCACGGTGGCCTCTTTAATGGAGGCCGAGGGCTGAGGAGCCTCTGAGGGGTTGGGGGGAATTGAAGCCTTCCTGTCTCTTCTGTATGCCTTGCTCTTGCAAGTGTGTTATTGTCTCCAAGGCTATTTATCTCTGTTAGGGCTGTTGCCATAAATAGTATGATAAAAAAGAGCCATTTCAGTGAGTCAATGAGATAAAGGCTCCAGTCAAGAGCTCACTTTAGAGCTATCTTAAGGATTCACTTAAACCTCAATAATTCTTTTCTTTGACAGCATTCATATTTAGATCCATTATGTGCCTGAAAAGGAAGAGGGGGAGGAGTTTGGAGGGAGTTAGGGTGCGAATCACTGCTTGATTGTGGAATCACTAGTGTCCCGATGGCTATTTGGTTTGGACACGCTGGCACCAGCCGTGGAGCGGGTTTCCATGTGACAAGGCAGACAGTAACCTGAAGCTCCCGAGTGCTGGTGTCACCTGCCCACCTGCTACTGTGGGCAGGGGAGCCTAGAGCCCGAGATGAAGATGTTGGGAGAAACAGCCAAACAAGCTTTCTGACAGAGGCAGCCCTGGCTGCAGCGCCTTGTCTGTCTCTCTGTCTCAAGGCATTATTTCGTGACACAAACATTTATTTAAAATATACCATGTGACAGGTAGAATATCCCAATGAATAAAACATGGCCACTGCCTTCAAATAGCCATTAATCCACCCACAAGATCATATGCACACTGTCCCACACTGCCAAGACCCTCTCCTATTTTCTTAAAAATTTCTCTGGAGGAAAATGATAATATGAATCATTATCAGCATCATTAATATTAATATTATAAGGGCTAACACTGTCATGGCACCTACTATGCGCCAGGCCATTTTCTAAGCACTAACTCCTTTAATTCTTACACCAACCCTGTGAAATACGTATTATCATCCTCCTCCTCCTTTTTTTTTTCTTTGAGATAAGGTCTCACTGTGTCACCCAGGTGAGAGTGTAGTGGTGCAATCACAGCTCACTACAGCGCTCAAGTAATCTAACCAACTCAGCCTCTTGAGTAACTGGAACTAGAGGCGTGTGCCACCATACCCAGCTAATTTTTTTTTTTAGAATGGGGTCCCACTATGTTGCCCAGGTTGGTCTTGAACTCATAGGCTCAAGCAATCCTCCTCATCTTAGCCTCCCAAAGTGCTGGGATTACAGGTGTGAGCCACCATGCCTGGCCAATCCTTATTTTTTTTTTACAGTTGAGGAAACTGAGGCAGAGAGAGATTAAGTAGTTTGTCCAAGGGGTCGCAGCTAGTAGGTAACAGGTCTGAGGTTGGAACCCAGGCTCTTTGGCCCCAAAGTTCATTTGCTTTTCCATGGCTGTGCTGCTTCTCAGGTCCCACAGGCTGCCCTCACTCTGTGGTCTCAGCATCCCACAGTGCTGTAAAGAGTCATTCTAGGGCCAGGTGCGGTGGCTCACACCTGTAATCTCAGCACTTTGGGAGACTGACGCAGGTGGATCACGAGATCAGGAGTTTGAGACCATCCTGGCCAAGATGGTGAAACCCCGTCTCTACTAAAAATATAAAAATTAGCCGGGCACGGTGGTGGGCGCCTGTAATCCCAGATACTCAGGAGGCTGGGACAGGAGAATTGCCTGAACCCGGGAGGTGGAGTTTTCAGTGAGCTGAGACCCTGCCACTGCACTCCAGCTTAGGCAACAGAGCAAGACTCTGTCTCAAAAAAACAAACAAACAAAAATAACAGAGTCATTCTGAGGCAGGAAAACAGGGTCTGGAGGCAGGGAACATAAGGCTGATTCACACTTCAGCTCTGACAGAAAATATCCTCTCCATAGGCGTACACTGGCTGTAAATGACTTTGTAACTTTACTTCATCCTCTTCATTTACATAAGACATACTCCAAGCAGAGGGTATTTAAACTCCCCCAAAATTCTATAACAGGGCCTTTGAGCCCCTATGCTCAGGCCCGCTCCCGCACTGTGGAGTGAACTTTCATTTTCAATAAATCCCTTCATTCCTTCCTTGCTTTGTTTGTGCGTTTTGTCCAATTCTTTGTTCAAGACATCAAGAACCTGAACACCCTCCACTGTTAATTCTTTGTGTCGAAACTGGATCTCTCATGTTGGGGATTAATCCTCTTCCCTCTCAGTCTGTCCTTAACTGCGACGGAGACTGTCTGAGAGTCACCAAGGCCCTCCGGAGTACAGTAAAAGTCTTCTTGAGAAGACAGGACACAGGCCTCAGGGCAGCAAACTCCCATCCTGCCCAGGGGACAATGGAGCCAAACAGATGGGTCCCAGAGGCCTGACCTCTTGTGAATCTGTGTTTATGGCAGGTGCTCCCGCAGGGACAAATGCCAACAGGCCTGGGAACCTAATCGATTTGCTGCCAGCATCAGCCAGTGTGTGAGCCTTGCAGTGCATCCCAGCAGCATCTCAGTATCTGAGCACAGCCGGTTGGTAAGTAACTCATCCAGGGGCATGGGGAGAGGGAATACAGTGCATGCACCTGTGTGGGTGTGCTCCATTCACGCTTGCACAAGTATCTGTAAATTGATCAGACTTTAAATCCAGTAAGGAGACTTTATGTTTATAGCAAACGTATGGCAATGCCTATTGTAAAGGGCATAGTCATTCTCCAGTTTCCCTGCAAATTCATTACCCATTGATCTGTTTTGTAAATCTAGATTTTTGCATTTAGTAACAAACATCTGCAACATAATGCAGTCCAATACCAAATAACACATTCTTTAGTATCTGCTGCATTTACAATTCTCCACTCACTGCACTCTTAAAGAAATCTGTGAGTTGCATGTGTGTGTGTGTGTGTGTGTGTGTGTGTGTGTGAGAGAGAGAGAGAGAGAGAGAGAGAGGAAAGAATAAGAGCAAGAAAGAGACTGCCTCAATTCGAAGTCAGTGTATGCTTAAAGAGAATATTAAAGAGAATAAAATAGCCCTTAACTATCTATCAAGGTACAACCCAAAATATTTCATGTCCTCAGGCCCTGCATTATTATTTCATTCTGAAGGTTTTATGAGCATTCACGAATGTTAATTAGTTAATGAACCTTCCAAGATTTCAGTTCATTCATCCCCACCAGGAGCTTTTGGCTCCAAGGGAGCTGAGGAAACAAACAGGGGAGTTTGTACCTAAGTCTCTTGGCCCCATGGAAACGAAACTGGGGCAGAGATTCAGCAGCAAACAAATGTATGGAAAGGTTAGGTGATGCCCACTGAGACTGAGAAACCCACTGCAAATAACACCACTGGGTATTGATAGGAAGATAGAGGGAAACCTACAGGCTGGGCGCGGTGGCTCACGCCTGTAATCCTAGCACTTTGGGAGGCTGAGGTGGAGAGGGTTGCTTGAGCCCAGAAGCTCAAGACTAGCCTGGGCAACATAGTGAGACCCTGTCTTTACTAAAAATTTAAAAAATAAAACAAAGGGAAACCTACCTACGCCATCATGGTCCTCAGCTTGGAGGCCACCGAGATGTCACCACCATGAACCCTATGGGCACACCTCATGGGCAGAGGAAACCAGTCGCCTTTCTTACCTATTCAAATACCACTTAGATGCTGTATTGTGGTAATTTGAGTACAAACTCATTTAAAAGTGCAATGGATTTAGAGCAGCATTTTGCCATTGAATATTTTCTCAATCGACAGATTCCTCAGAGAGTCTGTGATATTTTTACTGTTAAAAGTAGGGTCTTCAAATTCAAAAAAGCTGAAAACCGCTGGCCTAGATGATTGGAACCCATAGGTAATAGCAGACATCAAGCAGTTGGTGGCCACTTCTCTGATCCCCTGAGCTCCTTATGAACCTACTGGTCCATTTCAAGGGAGCTGCTAGAGAACAGAGAGCCCACATGGAACAGAGAAGCACAAACTCTAGGGAACACGCAGCCTTTAGAAGCAGCCTCTTGATGAATGACAGCCAAGGTGAGGAGCTAGCTATCTTCCACCAACCTAGTGAGCTCCTGGTAAACCTCCAGGTTGGTGATATTTACTCCCATGAGCCATGGCTAAGGCCTTGTCTGTGAAGGGCTCGGCTCAGGACTTGCTTTCAAGTTTGTGTGGTGCCTTGCAATTAATTTTCATGTCAAAATGAACAGGGGCTTAGATGGATTTTGGTACCTTTCCCTCTAGCGCCCCCACCCCTAGGGCTTTCTAATGCTGGAGAAGATGGAAACATTAATTAATAATAATATTAATAAAGACCATTGACCCTACACACATTGAATAATTAATGACTGTAACTTCAGTGTTCAAAGCTGGAAGACCACTTAGACCAACATCCTTCTTTTATAGATGAGGTCAGGGGAGATCAGTGAGCAAAGTGGGTCACAGCAGGGCTGGACCTGGAGTCCAGGTCTCCTGAGGCATTTCTTTGGCATCATCTCTTTGCTCCTCCCACAGCTTAGCCTGGTAGTGAGTGATGCTCCTGATCTATCTGCGGGTATCGCCTGTGCCTTTGGGAACCTGACAGAGGTGGAGGGGCAGGTGTCCGGGAGCCAGGTCATCTGCATCTCACCTGGGCCCAAGGATGTCCCTGTCATCCCGCTGGATCAAGGTAAGAAATATCTGCCATGAGAGCCACAAATGAGGGGCTTCTCTATACTGAGGGAGCTGGGGGTCACAAGAACTAGGCACACAGTCTTCTTATACCAGATACTAATATTGGCTTAGACAACTTGTTTACGTTTGAAAGCAAACTGTCATGCCCCAAAGTGAATTTCAGGAAAGAAAACACTTGCTCCACTTTGAGTTAAGGCTGCACAGAACACAGCGTCTTTCCAGATAGCCCGTCCCTCCTAGGAATGGAGTGGCTTCCATCAGTAGTTTTTTAGCAGGTCTCTCCACAGAACTGGGGGCTCAGACCTAATATTTCTGAAATCCTTTCAGTAATGGAACATGACTGACAAAGGCAAGGGGCTCCGTGGAATCTGCTTCTTCCTCCCTGCAGGCAGAGGAAGTCTGGGTCTGAGGGGTGGGCTGGTATTTACCCAAAGAGGCTTCCTTGGGAGGAGAAGAGACGATTCAGGCAGGTTCCACATAGTATCTACATCCTAAGAGAGCCCTGTGGTGGCTTCATGACTTACATTTTATTTTTGTGGCTGTCCACTGGGTCCCCCACGTTGTTACCCAACCCCATCCTTTTTTGTTTGTTTTTCCAGACTGGTTTGGGCTGGAGCTACAGCTGAGGTCCAAGGAGACAGGGAAGATATTTGTCAGCACCGAGTTCAAGTTTTACAACTGCAGTGCCCACCAACTGTAAGTGCTTATTAGAAAGGGTCTTGCTCTGGGTCTGGATGTGGGTATGGGCTTTCTTCCCCTCGATGCTAAGCTCCTTTAGGGCAGGAACCACGTTGTAGTCACCTCACAGTTTCCCCATGGGGCCTGACACTTTGTTTGGACAGAGTACACTGTACATAAATACTACCATATTAAACCAAATGGTATTTACTCTCTATAGTCTCTGAATCCTTGGATGCCACCCCAACACACCTAACCCCCAACTCTCAGGCCAAGATAGTAAAAAGAGAGTCAGAGAACAGGAACCGTAAAAAAAGTTCTTCATTTTCCATCACTTGGTGGTGACTTTGAAGGTAGAGGCTGACAGTGAGTGGAGTATGGACATGTCACCCACAACCAGATGAAGAGGGACTCCGAGATAGCGACTCGGCTATGCACACAGTCACCCACAGAGGAGGAGCAGGGAAGGGGGAAAGTAGCCTCTCTCAGCACATGATAAAAAGACCTGGATGGGGAGGTGGAGCAGAGGCCTTCACTCCATCATTTTTTAAATCCATCCTTCAATATTTTCAAGAGGAAGGGAAACCAGACAGGCCAAACCACAGCCTTCAGTGGGGCTTGACTTTAGTTCTACGGACCTCACCAGCCATTCCAGCAGCTGAATGCCTGCCAGTTGGTGCCCACACGCTATGAGACCCCACAACTGTGTGAGAAGCTGGGAACATTTCACAGGGAAAAAGCAGAAATGGAGGGAGTGAAACCCCTACTTAGTTTCTGCTGATCCTCCCTGGTAGAGAAACTGAGACCCTTTCCACAGAAGCTGGGAACTCATACACCATTTGGTTTAGAAAGAAGGAAACACAGGCCTCTGTAATAGAGCCACATAAGGGTCATAGGACCAAAAACCCTAGACATTCAGCAAGGGGAGAGGTCAATCAACAGCTCCATATCAGAGGAGGCAGTGATTCGGAATGTTTACGGACTCATCCTTCCCATTGTCCAAGGCAGGAACCACTTGGGATCCACATCATAGTCAGGTCTTCAGGGGTATCCAGTCTGTAGGGTCCAAGCTATGGGCATGAAGGACTCAGCAATCAAGATGGGAAGAGGGTCTGTTTGCAGCTAAACCCTAAAGGAATCTTTAGTCATTAGAAGAGGCAAATAAGCTAGTCCTCCTTATTCTCCATTTTTCTGAACTTGATTTTCATAATTAGAATAATCTTCTGGAGTTCTTTGGTCTCTACATTAGTCAAGGAAGGAGCCCCATTGGGACAAATAAATAGATGTGCTGAGAAAGACAGAACAAGTGATAGAAATGGCCTGGTGGGAACCAGGGAGGGCAGAAAGGGACTGAAGTTGAAATAGACAAAGCTGCCCTCTAACCACTGCATTTGAATCCCAGCAAACCCTGCTTTGGGAATGGCAAGCATCTGGGCAACAGAACTTCTTACCTCCTTCTCAAACTCCAACATGGTGGTGATGGAATCCATTGTTTGTGAGAGCAATCTTATCTCCATGGCAACAGAGTATGATGTCACCACTTTCAAAGATGTATTGCTATGGCAACACAGATGCTGTCACAGGCAGCAAGTTTTAACAGAAAAAAAAAAAGCAGGTCTCCTTGACAGCAAAGATTCCATTTTAATGCCAAACACTGCCTCTCTTGCCCTTCTCTACTGGAATTCAGTTAAAATTCATGGAATCAAGTATAGTCCCCTCCTTTTAATAATTTGCTGTAATAAAAGTAAACTGAGGCCCACAGAAAGATTAGTGCTACAATGAAGGTCACAAAAGTAGCCAGCGGAAGAGCCACATCTAGCTAGAGCCCCAATAACCATCCTCCTTAGGCCCTTGGTCCATTTTCATTATTTACTTGCTGAATCATAAGATGTTACCAAGAACCAGTCTATCTGAGAGTACATGAGATAGCATGAAGCTCAGAAACTAAAAAAGTCTGGGCAATGGAGAATGGGATAAAAATGCTCTGAATGGGAAGATGAAGTGTAAATGGGCTAACCAACCCAACATACTATGGCCTGTGAGCCGGTGACCCCTGGATCAAGCCCCAACCACCCAAATGTAATCAGAGCCCCACCAGGTGGCGCCAGACTGCAGACCTGGTCCTGTCCATTCCAGGTTGGCCTAGTTGTGAAAGACTAGATAGAGTAAGGGGGCTGCGAGGAGGAGCAAGACTAATCCCCCCTACAAAACCCATTTCCATTACAATGACCTGATCACACACAGAGAGCCAAAAGAATATACACAGTCTCCAGGTGAAATTGGAAGGAAAGAAGTGCTCACCCTGGCAAGAAAAGCACATACCACACACATATCCTACTGTTCCATGCCTGGGGGAGTGGGACAAAGTTACTACTTAATACTATTAGCTCCCCCAAGCCCAATAATACAGATGATATGAACCAATTGTTAACACTCAAATGTTATTTAAGAGGTTGAAATAACAGGTAATTTAAGCGCTTGACAATAATACTCACATTTAGCATGGCATTTTTCGAAACCATTTTCTATGCATTATCTCATTTGACACCAAACAGCCCTGTGGCATAGACAGGAATGTTTTATTACAGGCGGATGAAGATACTCCAATTCAGAGGGTGAAGTGACTTACTCAGTGTGACCCCAGTGGCAGTGGCAGAAGCAAGTCTATAATCAGATATGCCCAATTCCTGTCCCTGTACTCTGCCGGCTACCCTGTCTTTACAAGCAGTGAAATATTGGGAACTGTTTAGCTACCAGCATTCAGAAGAAAACCTAGTTTGCAGCATTGCCAAATTCTGTGGCGCAACTATTTCCACCATGGCCGATTTCAAACTACCACCATGATGTCTATCAGCTTGCAAAATTCCTGAAAATGTGAATAATCAGTTCTCATGAGCTTATAGAAGCACACCCCTGCTTTGTCAGTTATACTCTTATCTGGTCTCATTTTCTTTCCAATTTTCTGTTCCCATGAATATCATGGATGGAGAATCCACAATTCTTGGTGCTAGAGGATGGCCCACCAGTCTTCCCTCCTGAGAATGAGACTAGGATTTAAACACAGGTTAACAGACTTCTATCATGACACATGCCACCTTCCCTCTTTGTTCTCTTCTCTTTGCCTCTCACCATCTCTGTCCTTGCAGGTGCCTGTCCTGTGTCAACAGCGCCTTCCGCTGCCATTGGTGCAAGTACCGCAACCTCTGCACTCATGACCCCACCACCTGCTCCTTCCAGGAGGGCCGGATCAATATTTCAGAGGTAAGAAGGGCTTACCCTAACATGGCAGTGTTCCCAGTGAGTCTGAGTGGCCCCTCCCTCTTTAGATGGTCAGTCCAATGGCTTGGCCATTTTCTTGCCCTGGCCCATCTTGGCCGTCTTGCCAGAAATTCTGCATGCTAGAAAGCCCTGTTATTATAAAGCTCAAAAAAGTAGCAGCAAATGACCCCAGAGGCAGAGGCTATGTCTACTAGACTCCTAAGACTCTATGCATTCAAAAGCTTGAAGGTAACTGGGGGTTGAGACTGAAAGCTTAGAGGAAACATATTCAACCAAACAGACTCCCTGGTCTAGAAGAGTGTAGTGAATGGCATTTATTCTTTGAGTCTAGCCCTTTGCTTGGCTGCAGACATAGTCTAGTTCAATAGAACTTTCACTCGCAACCATTCTTTCATGCCAACTTCTCTTCCAACTCTAAAATTCAATGATTCTTTGACTCTGATGTATAACTGGGTGGGTGGCCTTGTAGAAAGTGAGAAAAAATCAGCTAGTGAAAAGAACCAGGCATTGCTAAAAGTCCTGTTTTATTATACAGTCGAAACTCCATCCCTAAAGCCTGACCCACCTTTGTTATTAACACAGTGAAATATCAAATTGCTTATCTTTCTAATGGGTATTCCATTCAATGGTTATTCACTGAAGTCTACTTTCTTATATATTCATAGCATGTCTCAGGACAGTGAAGCCTGCTTGCTCAGTCTCCCTTTCTTGTGTCGAAAGCTTTTCATACCCCAGCATGGCCAGTTGGATTTGAACAACTATAGAGACATTACATAGTTGCCCAAATGCACGTGTGCATATACACATATTTCTTACTCTATATTTTAGAAAATCCAAAAATGGTAATAAGTGACAATGTAGCATTTTTATATACAACTACAGTCTTTTTTTTTTTTTTTGATATGAAGTCTCGCTCTATCGCCAGGCTGGAGTGCAATGGCGTGATCTCCGCTCACTGCAACCTCTGCCTCCCGGGTTCAAGCAATTCTCCTGCCTCAGCCACCTGAGTAGCTGGGACTACAGGGGCATGCCACCATGCCAGCAAATTTTTGTATTTTTAGTAGAGACAGGGTTTCACCATGTTGGCCAGGATGGTCTCGATCTCTTGACCTCATGATCCACCCGCCTCGGCCTCCCAAAGTGTTGGGGTTACAAGTGTGAGCCACTCCGCCCGGCCTACTATAGCCTTTCTATACACATCTTCCTCTTGCGCTAGACTACAAGCTCCTTGAAGGCAAGGACTACATCTTATCTTTAAATCTTCAATGTCTTATTTAGCAAATGTTTGTAGAATGCATGCATGAAAGAATGGATGAACGAATGACCTTTCTATTTAAATCCCATTGATGGCAATTGTGTCAACTTGTCTAAGATTTCAAGTAATGGAGTCTTGTGTCTTCTAATCTTGATAGCAGTGCTGGTTGCTTCCATGGCTAAACATAAGAAAATAGACTCTGAAAGGTTTCTCAAACACATACCCCTTTGAACTCTTCTTAGTTTATGAAACAACAGGTGTTATGTTCAGTCAGAAAAATGGAATTTGCCTGTCTTGAAAGGGAGAAACATAGATGCCACAGGTGGCTTTTCAAACAGACCCATCTACGGGTGCCTCAGCATGACGAAACCAGGCATCTAGTGCCCTGAGAACCTTTCAGAAAAGCATTTTCCTCTAGCCAGTTGGTATGCTTTGATGCAGCTGGCCTAAAAACCCTACACCAGCCTTCCTGGACACTGGAGATTAACTCCAGCCCTGGAATTCTGCAACAGTATGAAACTGCTCTGGGGGCAGTCCTTTCACACAGAGCTGCAGGGAGAGGTGGGAGTGGGCACCACAGCTTGGAGCCAATGAAAGAATCGCTTAGAGGGGCAGACCTAGCCAGGAACAGCAGAGCCACCATGGGAGGCCTGGGCAGGGGTGAAGACTGAGCAGTGAGAGAGTATGAGACACAGTCTCAGAAACTAACCTTGACATGGGCCACTTTGAAAGTTCCTTAATAAAATAGATTGAGGTGGCCCCCAGGACACAGAGAGATTGGATGAAGTACAAATCTAGACAACAAAGAGCAGCTGCTCCACTTTCTCCTGAGGCTACCCACCTCAGGCCAAGAGAAACCCAAAGCCAAGCCTGAAAGCGACCTGCAGCTGAAGCAAGGGCATGCGAGTGTCACTCAAAGCAAGATAAATAAACTCTGCTGGGGTGTGTGTGGAGGCCAGAGAGCTGAGCCCCTGCAGGCTAATTGGAAGCAGGCCCGGCCTTCCTCACACCATTCGGAAGTCACTGAAATACAGCTCCCTCTCAGCCATGGATGAGAGATTCAACATTCCGGAGCTGGGCCAAGAGAAGCTGTTGCCTCCCTGCAACTCGGGATTAAATTAATACCAAAAGGGACCTAGGGGCAAACTCAGAGACTCCCCACCTCCTTTTTGTTTCATTTTCTGTCCTTGATGTCTGTGGCTTAGGGTTAGAGAAGAGCAGTCCCCTTTGTCTCCCTTCATCTCCCCATTGCCCTGAGTAGGAATGGTGTACGGCTGCTCTCTTATGCTCGTGTGCATTGGTCCCTGGCATGGCCCCAGGGATTGGCTGTCCGGAGGACTGTGAGGGAAGCCCAGACTCCATCCAGCTCCCAACTTTGCTCAGGAAAGGAAACAGGGTGCAGATTCCCAGCGAGGTTGCCAGGGCCACTTCCGGGGCTTCCTAAAATACTGCTTTGGCTCTTAACCACAGCTGGCCACATGTTCCTTTTCAGCAAACAGCAGCCAGGCCCCCCTCTTTTCTGTCCAAAGTTCTGCTTTAGGAGAACCCCATCCCTGAAAATTTGAGGAACAGCAAAGATGCACATGCCCAACTTGGGTAAGGTTTCCCTTACTCTCTCAGGCGTCCCAGCTGATAGTTTCATGTAGTTTGGGGAACTAGAATCCCCTGGATTTCCAGCTAACTGGAAATCCCTTAGCTATCTCTTTAGGGGTTCCTAGAATATCTCTTTTAGAATTCCAGTAAGCCTCCCTTCCCAACTTTGAATCAAAATTTTATGTCTGTCTGCTTCCTAGAAACAATATATAACTGATTAGCTCCATTGATTAATATAGCAACATTAATATATCACACATTTATAATTTCTTCACATGTGCCAGGAGTTCTCAAAGTGTGCCCAGGGACCGGCAGCATCAGCATCACCTGGGAACTTATAGAAATTCAAATTCTTGGGCCCCATCCCAGATGAGGCTAAAGATTGAGAACCACTGACATTTGGCATTTCAATGGATTCTTGCAACAGCCCTGCAATTTCATATAATTTATATTTGACATCTGTAGTAACCAGAATGCTAAAAATTTCGGGTTTTTGCCCAAGGCTACAGAGAACTCAGGCATCCAAAAAAGCTGAGTACAGTATGTTTTCTACAGAAAATCAGGGCCCATGAGCTTTGTTTCCATGGTCACAGCCACACTTGCTGGCCTGACTTCAACCTGGTCCTTTGCTATTGGTCATGAGGATTCAGGCTATGGATGGGCCAGCACAAATCCATCTCCACAGATGGAGAAACTGCCCATAGAAGATGGGTCAGTGGTGCCATTTCCAGATAAAAAGACAGCCAGCATATGAGGTAAATCTGCCCACATCTTTCCAGAAGGCAGATGGACCAATTCCATGCTTAGGCTTGACAATGAAGAACAGCTGTGCTAGAACGAATGCAATTCAAAAATAAAAATATTAGTACTTATTATATATGCAGCATATATATAATTTAACCTTAAGTACTCTATGAAGTGGATTATATTATAGATGAATAGACTGAGGCTTAAATAAGTTAAACAGCTTTCCTATGATCATCAAATAAATGCAGAAATTAGGATTCAGAGACAATTTTTCAAGCTGACCTTGAATAAGTGAAAGTCCACTGATTCTGCAGTCACACTCACACGCACACACACCACAAATAGGCGGTAATATTAACAATTGTCAATCCAGCATATTACCACTTACAACACACATTGATTTTCCTCTTTCATGCAATCTAGGTTTGTCAGATATTATTGGCACCATTTTATAGAGGAGGAAACTGACTTTCAATTAAACCATTTGTCAAGCTCTCTTAAGGTAATGAGTCAGACCTTTCCAGCACTCAGAGCACAGCAGATCTCTGATGGGGGCCCCCCAAATCTCTTCCTCCCTGAGTCAGATCAGGCTGTGACATGGTGTTAGCAAGCGGGTGTGCACGGGAGGATGTATGGCTTTCAGCTTTTAAAGCTCATCTCCCTCCATGGCTAAGCCAGGCCTAGTGAGATGTAGATACATAAATATCTCCTTTATGCCCTGTCCCAGGGGAAAGATAGAACCAAATAAATCCGATTAGCTTCCCAGGATGCTGGCTGCTCTCTCTTTGAAGTCCAGTGGGTGAAGATAATGCCATTTCCACATGGGAGAAGTCGCTTCAGAGGGCTAAAGGGTCCCCAGCACAGAACGCTGGCAGAGCACAGCTGAACAGGTGGGCAATGTGAGCCCAAGACTCATAGGGCTCCTAAACCAGGTCCCTGCTCTCCCTGCAGCTGTGTTTCCTCTTCCCCAGCCTACCGCCACCCCTGGGGTATTCCTACAAGTTTAAGTCTTGGTTTAAACTAAGATTGCTGCTGAGAAGGTGATCCTGGCTCCAGTTGGCCTAGAGACAGAGGAGAAAGAAGATGACCCAAAGAGATCACTCAGAAGGCTGTGAGGATCCGCGGTAGCAATCAGTATTTTAAGAATGTGAACAACAGTCTTAACATTCTGCAGGAAAAGCATCTTAGGATGATTTGCTTTCTTTTTCATAAGACAGGTACTGTATGTGTATGTACACATGTGTGTGCCTGTGTGTGTGTGTATACCCACAGAAGCAAACAGGTTGGAAGTGGCCTTATTGTATCTGATTAAACCCTTCACCATCCTCAAGCCCCACAGATATTGAAGTTTCAACAACTTGGCAATTGTTTGGGGTCCAGTCTCCTCCACCCACTTTCAGCCCTTACCACTGCAATTTCCACCCAAGATTCACAGATCCTTCATGAATATACTCACCAGAATCATCTCATAACCCAAAAGGCCTGTATCTTCCCATTTCCCAAGATGAAGAAAGCATACCTGGGGCACCAACCGCTTCTTTCCTTTGCCTTAGAGAATAGAAGGGAAAAAATCCTATTCTGTCTGACCTGAGAGCAATTGCCAAATAAAGAAACAAAGCATAAGACATTCTTTTTCTACTAGGGCAATCTTGGGGCCTGGTTCAGCATTTGGGAAGACCCTAATTGTTACCCTTACATTTGATTCTAAAAAGTCTGAAACAGCAGACCATGGGAAATTTCCTAAAATTCTAGAATCCCTTAAAAAAAAAAAAAACTCATGTAATAGTACTCATAAAGTCTACTCATGATTCTCCAACCTCCAGGCTGGACTGGACTTAGCCCAGCCTAAAAGATGAAAGTGTGTGTGTGTGTTACATATAGATAACATATGTGTTATATATAGGTATTACACATAACATCTATATAAAAGTATACTTTTTTTGGTCCACATTAAAAGGATTCAACAATCTTTTTTTACTAACCCCAGACATCATACTTCCAAAAGCACATCTTTAAGATCCTGCTACTGAAATTTGAATTTGTTGTCTAAGCTCATTAGAGATGAAAAACAACTGCTCGTCATTTACAATTCATCAGCTGGTTCGGAGTAAGAAAATCTCTCTCTCTTTCTCTCTGTCTCTCTGTCTGTCTGTCTGTCTCTCTCTCTCTCTCTCTCTCTCTCACACACACACAGAGAGAGAGAGAGAGAGAGAGAGAGAGAGAGTGCGAGAGAGACCATTATACCCCAGCCTTATTTCTAACTTAAATTCTAACATTAGATTTGATGCAGATATTTTAGCTGCTAACAGGAAGTGTTATCTCCTTTTCTATGAGATGCCTGGGCTTCCCTAAAGTGGTGCTCATCTTTTTTTTTTTTTTTTTTGGCTATAAATATATGAAAGAGTCTGTCAAGAGTGCCTGCAGGGAATGAAAGTGAAAGTGCAGTAAAGAGCAAGTTTATGAGTTGGCAGCTTGAGTGACTGGCTCCTAAACAGGGACCCATCTGTTCTGGGGTTGCCTTGTGATTCTCTCTCGTGGATGCCGTGCCTGCCTGGAGTCCTCACATGCAGGTGGCCAGCTGACAAGGGATGACACTGGTGAGCCTGCCGGTGTGTCCAGACCCTCTTAGGTGGGTTTCTGTGCAGAATTTCCCCCAGATCCGGCTCTTCAGAAATTGTCAGTAGTAAATTATCCTTAGTAAATGTGGACATGCCACTTTAGAAATCATGTGACTCCAAAACCCATGACTATTTCCAACTCCAGCTTTTGAGAACCAAATGCCTTCTCAAGTCTCTTCAAGCCCAGAAGGCAGGCTTTACCTCATCTCTAAAGAATCTACAAAGTTGGAGCTAAAAAAAAAAAGATTTTTTCACAGGTTGCTTTATTTTATTTTCTATTTACCCTCCCACAAGCAATGACATGCTTGACATGTCCGTTACATGTCAAGCACTGGCAGAAAGACTGGGGAGATGGAGGTGAGTAAGATGCAGCCTAATCCTCAAGAAGCTCACAGCCCAGTGAGGAAAGCAAATCAAGAAATTGTAATTCTGTGTGTCAAAAGCAATCATGGGTGAATATTCATAACTCATCCTGAAGCCAGTGCAGGGGCAGGGGCAGGGACGGCCTTGCAGAGAAGAAACTGGGCTGAGTTTGAAGGCTGATTAAGAGGTAATCAATTATTAATTCTCAGAGAAGGTGATGATTTAAAAAAACCAAAAAAGTAAAAGAAGAGGTAATCAACTAAAAGAGGGGCTGAAGCAGGGCAGCAGCAGGAGGAAGACAGGCAGGAGTGTGTGTTTCTAATAGACGGAAAAGCATGTTCAAAGGGCCAGAGGCAGATCCTGTAAGGGAGAGGGCATCTCAGAGTTAACCATACATTCAGTATGGCTGGACTATTATGTGCAAGAACCACAGAGTTCAGAGGGAGGTAGGCAAGGGCCAGATGCTGAACGGCTTGCAAGTGGGGCCCAGAGAAAAGAGGCAACAGCCCGAGCCACACCATGACAAGAGGTGGCCACAGGAGATTCCCTGTGTGAGGCTGTGCCGGCATTGCACAAGGCTTCTTAATTATTGCATTTGCCATTAGGAGGACAATATTTTTGTCATTGAACATGTCCTACACCTTGTAGGAAATCCAGCAATCCTGGCCCCTGGCATCAATGCCAGTAACACCCTCTGCAGGCCCTGTAGCAGCATCAGCCCCCAGACATTCCCAGAAGTTCCCCCTAAGAACCACTGCCCAGGAGAAGGGGACAGAGAAAGGGGAGCCTCCTATGAGAATTCCCCTAGTGATTCCCTGTGGAGGTGGTTCCCACATCATCACTGCCAGGGGCTACCAGGCTCATCTGCCCGAGGAGAGAAGGAGAAAGAGGAGATTGGCACAGTGGGGTGGCCCTTTGACCTCTGGTGGAAAATCAGCATCTAGTCATGGAGCTCCATAAATCAATCTGTCTTTCTCACTGTCTCTCTCTCATGGTCCTTCCCAAAGCCCCTCCCTACCAAGACTTTCTTTTTTGGTTTTGTTTTCCAAAGCAACATGGCATTCACGCAGGGCCTGGTAATGAAATGAGATTAAAAAAAAAAAAAAACAGAGCAAGTGTTTAGAGTATTGCTGGGAGGGCTTGATCCACCTTCTGGAAAGCCTAGCTCAGTCGGGGCTGGGAAGCTGAAGCTGCTGATAACGGATGCCCCAGGCATCGGCATCAGACAATGCAAGGGGCCGAGTATCTGGAGCTGGGGAACAAGATGAAACCCAGAGGTAGGGGTGCCAGGTTGGGGACAGGGACACGTGGAGGCTCTTTTATCCAGTGTCTCAGGAGATAAAATCCACAGCTTGCCACACTGTGCTTGAAAATTAATTCCTGAATTGTAACACACACAGCAGATACAGGACAACTTGTGGGACGGGGATGACAATATCAAAGCCCAGGAGCTAAGAGCGATTCCATTTTCCCTGCCCATTCCACGGGCCTTACATGAGGTAATATCCTGCTCTTGGGCAGCTCACCTGATACAAGAGGGGCCTGCCTGTCCCAGGCACATAGGACAGCATGAACAGGGGACAGATGGAGCCTCTTCGTTTGTTCCCCCAGGACTGTCCCCAGCTGGTGCCCACAGAGGAGATCTTGATTCCAGTCGGGGAGGTAAAGCCAATCACCCTTAAGGCGCGAAATCTGCCCCAGCCGCAGTCCGGCCAGCGAGGCTATGAGTGTGTCCTCAACATACAAGGAGCCATCCACCGGGTCCCCGCTCTGCGCTTCAACAGCTCCAGCGTTCAGTGTCAGAACAGCTCGGTAAGAAAACGCAGGCTGGGCCCTGCCTGGAGCAGGGCTTCCTCTCACACTCGTGCTGGGGCCTCAGTATGGCCAGCCCTGGCTTCCGGAGCCTTCCAGGTTCACAGGCTGAGCCCACATCCCCAGGGATGCAGGAGCCAGCCAGCACCCCAGCCGCTCAGCCAGAGCAGGGCAGGTGACTGGTGCCAGAGGAGACAGTTCCGTGAGGACCCTCATGGCAGACACTGAGATCTTTGTGCCCTTTCTGAAGTTGATTTTTTAAATTTTAAATTTTTTTATTTTTAATTTTTGTGAGAACACAGTAGGTGTATGTATTTATGGGCTACATGAGATGTTTTGATACAGGCGTGCAATGTCAAATAATCACATCATGGACCTTTCTGAAGTTGAAAGAGCACCTCTTTGTCTTCAGTGAAACTTGAACCAGAGCGAGTCAACTCCACCCTACACCCCATTCCACATCCCCATTCAGGGAGTGAATAACCAGGAGGGTGCTCCACAGGCAAAAGCTGGAGAAGAGAGGGACAGGAAGTGAGATGGGAGGAGGGGAGGTGGGAGGGGAGGGGTAGGAGGAAGCAGTGAATTTCAGGAGCAGCAAGGGTTAAACCAATCCAGAATGGCAGACAGAGAGCATGAGGTGTTTAATTATAATACTAACCCCAAGAAGATCTTTTTATCTGCCAGCTCCCTGTCTCTGACTGTGGGGGGTCAGCTGGAGATGAGGGAGGGGAGGATGTGACAAAGGTGTTGAGGGAAGCTAATTCGCCTGGGAGAGATAAAGGGAATCTGGGCCTCTTATCAGGGAGCTGTCAGATTCCCAGGTCACAGGCGCTTGATAGATAGAATTTGTAATCGGTGGAAGGCCGCCAAGCGCAAGGGGAAGGCAGGATGAGAAAGAAAAGGGACACAACAAAGGGAGGCAGTGGGCAGGGGAGGGCGGGAGCAGAAGGCTGACAGTGACATGCCCTTCAGAGCTGAAGAGTGGGGGGTCGGGAAGATGCCCCGAGGTCTCCATCACAGGGTGCCAGGACTGGCCACCCAGGGGTGTTATTTCTGAAGTGTGAAGGGGCTAAATGTCTTCTGTGGGATCAGCACAAGAGAGAAAGTCATAGACTCCTGGCCACAGCTAGAGGACTTTAACGATAGGGCTGATGAGATCTGTGCCCGGAAAGCTGTGGGCTGATGAGGTCTGTGTCCGGAAAGCTGTGGGCACTTCTCCCTAGTGGACCATTGGCTAAAGTAAGGCTCGTGCGGAAATAGAGGGCCACCGCAGGGGTTGGCCAGGTGACTGCTCGATGAGACTCTCGGCCTTACAAGAGTAGTAAGAGGGCATTAGCTCTGCCTCTGGAGACACATGGACTTTTTAGGGAGACACGTGAAAAGAGGCACAGCAGATCCTGGAAAGTGCCAGTGCAAGACAGAAAGTGGCAACACCAGGGGATGGACAGTTTGAGGCAGATCTGCAGGGTTGTGGGAGAGGACTCCTGGGGAAAGTAGAGCTGAGCTGGGCTAGAAGAATACGGGTGGGTTAAAAGGATGGAGGTTGTAGGGAGACGGTTGCATTCCTTATGAGATAGGAACTCAACAAAGACAGAGAGGGGCTTAAGAAGATGTGTTTGGAGAAAGGTAGATTCAAAGCTTTCCACGGGAGAGCAGTGGAGGAGAAAGCTGGAGGAGTCAGTTTGCATCCGATTATGCAGGGCACTGAATGCCAAGCTAGGAGGCTTGGGTGGGATTCTCTTGGCATTAGTGACTGGGATTCAGGGAAAGAGCGTCATAATAATCTGAGCAGCATGCAGGGTTTGTCTGCATCCCTGACCCCTGTGATAGAGAGCCACATGAGCCCCATGCCTCTGCCCGTCTCCCTATAGTACCAGTATGATGGCATGGACATCAGCAATCTGGCCGTGGATTTCGCTGTGGTGTGGAACGGCAATTTCATCATTGACAACCCTCAGGACCTGAAAGGTAAGCGGCTACTTCCGGGTAGAAGTTTGATCTTTTCACGACCCCGGGAAAGACTGGGGCTAGAGGGATCAGAGCCAGCCAGCCGCTGTGCCATGAATAATACACTCCCTCTGTCGGCGGAACTCTTCAGAGGATCCTAAAGCAACATTTGGAGTCATCAAAGGAGTCCTGTTGGGAGCCCTGTTTTATTACAACCAGAGCATCCGCTGGGCGGCCGCCGGCCCATCCACGTTATTCTTTGGCTCCTGCAGGCTTTGAAGTGTCTGTGGAACCTGACCTAGGAGAACAGCAGGCAGGAACGTCCGGCTAGTTTCCCTGGAAATGGAGATATTGTTTCCAGTCAGGCTCTTGTTCCCCTGTCCTTGGCCCTGGTCACAATCACTGCACAAAGAGGGTTTTTAAGGCTGCTCTCCAGTTCCTGAGGTGGGCGGGAGAGAGCAGCATGCAGAGTCCAGCTCACATCGGGAGCAAAGAATTCAGGAAGGGGATCTGGCTGAAGAAGGAGGGGTGCTCCATGAGGGTGACCCTTATTCATCGTCCTATAAACTCATGTCGAGCTCCTCCCATGTGCCAGTTAGGCCCGACCCTCAGTGCAGCAAATGCCAAGATTCCACCCTGCTCTCGAGAATGATAAAAGTGACTCCAATATGATGAGGACTCGTGATGGGTAGACACTCACTAAGTAATTTATTAGAGATTATTTTCCTTAAGCATCACAATAACTCTGAGAGGTATGTACTATTATTATTCTCATTTTCTAGATGAGGAAACTGAGACCCAAAGAGATTAAGAAATGGGCCACGAGTCAGATAGTAAGAGCTGGGATTGGAACCAAGACAGTCTAATTTCAGAGCTCGCAAACTGAGCCACATCACTGTGAGGATCTACTACTTAGGCCACTGTAGGATTTAAACTCCTTCCCCCCTGGAATATATTCCTATCCCCCACACTCCTCCTACCCTCAGCCACAAGCCTTGCCACACTTCAAGTAGCTAGGGTTGTCACAAGCCTCTGCTTCCACCTGACGGATCAGCCAATGGAGATGGGGTAGGGGGCAAGGCCATAGCAGGGGCTGCAAGTTTTTCAGCATCTTTAGGGCTGTAGCTCCCTGTCCCAAATGCTGCCATTAAAATCAAGGCTACTTAGACTGGGAGAAAGGAACGGAGCCAGGAGGATTATTTTTTTCTATTTCTCCTCATACCCAGGCCAAACTTTCTCACTGCTAAAACATAGGAGACAATTACCCTGCTGGGGATCTGGGCTTAGATCCCAGAGGTTGCCTTAGCACCTGGAGCTTAGAGAGCAGCCACATCCGAGCTGTTGCATCGGAAACTCTACTTGTGACTCTTGCAATGTTGAAGAAGCTCTGAGAGTGCACAGACAGCGTTGTCTTCACATTCGTATCACCTCCACCCACTAGCCTGAGTGTCTCTGCCGGCTGCGCATTGGGCTGGGTGGAGAGGACCACACCATTTAAAGACTCAGGTTCTAGAATCCAGCAAAGTGGGGTTCACCTGCTGGCTCTTTCACTTACAGCTGTGTGAACTCAGATGAATGACTGTTCCCCTTTACATCCAGTCTCCTTATCTGTGAAGTGGAGGGAAGGATGCCCACTTCTCAGGGTCACCGTGAGGATCAAATGAGCTCATGGGTATGAACCATGTGGTACATATTTATAGATGCTCAGTGTGTACTCATTCATTTTAAGATTCCCATTTCCTGCCCTCTACCTTACAAAGCGATAAGCATGAGGGTATTTAAATATAGGCCCTGCAGCTGGGACTAAAGGATGCTGGACATAGCAGAGGAACAGGATGAGGACCTATGGGAAGAATTTTAAAATTACCCTTTCCCTGGGGCATGTGTCTCACTTTCAGCAACGGCATACCACCTGGTCCTGAAAGCTTACATGTGCTTGACCAAAAGAGTGGAAAAATGACTTTTACGTGTTTTGCTTTTGGAGAATTCTACTTGTAACTCAAAATCTCAGCAGGCAAGGAGCTAAGACCAGGTTCCTGAACCTGAAGCACAGTTCACTAATTCGCTGGTTATACTAGCACTTTTAAGTCAGCAGGAGACAAAAAAAAAGACAAAGGGTTTGCACACTCCAAATGTTACTATTTAAATAGCCAGTTTGCCCTCTCTGGGGACATATTCTCCATTCATAAGGGCTGGGAACAGACTGTGTCACCCCCTTTTTTTTAATCAGCAATGCTTCCCTCACTGCTAGCCACCTGGCCTTTCTTTAACCCCAAGCTGACTCCCGTCTCAAACCCATGCAATTTCCAGTTTGCCAGACAACAGTCCTCACTTCTCAGGACCTACCATTAAGCAGCAAAGCAAGTTGGAGTTTGAAGATTCCAGTTTGGGTCACTAATTTTACTAAGCTCTAAGAGTCATTATCTCTCCCTGAGCCTCATTTTTCCTTCAATGGAGGAAAGCAGCCCTTACCTCCTGCATGAGGACCATATGTGAGAGTGGAGAATAAGAGAGATGGCAGCATAAGAATATAGCACGAGTTCAAAGAAAACAT
Source organism: Homo sapiens (assembly GCF_000001405.40). Classification (NCBI taxonomy): domain Eukaryota; kingdom Metazoa; phylum Chordata; class Mammalia; order Primates; family Hominidae; genus Homo; species Homo sapiens. The sequence continues at coordinate 208,079,878 of NC_000001.11, read as the reverse complement.
AATAAACATATATAGGGCATCAGATATGTTACAGGCACTGTGCTAAGCACTTAATATACATTATCTTATTCCAACCTCACAAAAAAAAACAACGATTATCTTCATGTTAGAGATTAGGTAAGTGAGGTTCAAGGAGGTGGAATCCTCTCTCACATTGCTAGGAAGTAGTGAGGCCACAATTAAAGCCCTAATCTGATTCAATCTAGAGCCAGAATTCTTAAATAATATTATTCTTCCTAGTGCCCTTAAGTGACTGGTAAGAGGCTCAATTTACTAATTCCTCAGTCATTCTTGCAATGATAATGATGATTGGTGGTGTTATCCATGGTGGGGAAGAGTTTCTATCATTTCTATCACACCTGCAAGAGGAGGGTGCATTGTGAGCAGCCCTTTCTGGTTTCATCTGTGACCACCTGCTCTCTTTGCAGTCCATCTCTACAAGTGTGCAGCCCAGCGGGAGAGCTGCGGCCTCTGCCTCAAGGCCGACCGGAAGTTTGAGTGTGGCTGGTGCAGCGGCGAGCGCAGGTGCACCCTCCACCAGCACTGTACCAGCCCTTCCAGCCCCTGGCTCGACTGGTCCAGCCACAATGTCAAGTGCTCCAACCCTCAAATCACCGAGGTAAGTCCTGCAAGTCTCTAGAGCAGGAAGGGGTGGCCAAGAGCTGACCCCAAGACAGTGGGAGAGGAGTGCAAATTGAGACTCTGTGGACAAATTATTGGCGTACAGTGAGTTTAATGTGGGGGGGTGTAGGAAACCTCTCGCGTGTGTCTTAACGGCCCCTGTCTAGGTATAAGAGGTAAGTGTATGGAAGCGCATCCTCATGCCTGCGCATGAATGTACAAGCGCATTGGTGTGCACGTGCACACGACAAGGGAGGCAGAGCCAACCCAGTCTCCCTGCCAGGCTGGCTGAGCCAAGTGAGGAGGAGAAATTGGCTCCATGGTGGGTGAACATTTCAGAAAACAGGTTTAGCTTTTCTCAGCAGAAATGTGATTTCAGGAGCCGCAATTAGCTCGGAGTTGCAAAGCTGAAAATGGAAGAAGAGAGTAAAGGCAGGCACTACATTAGCCACCGTGCCATTTCCCAGGATTTACTCCCCGTCCCAATTTTTTCATGCATTTTAATGGAAAGAAAAGGAAGTTAATTATCCTGGGGAAAAAATGATGTTTCCAAAATAGCAAATTCCAAAGGAAGATGATGTGGATGAAAATGCAATTGCTTGGGTTTCAAATGGCCTGGGAGAGGAGTTGCTGTATTTAACTTTGGTTGTGTTCTGTGCTCCCTCTTCACTGCTCCCTAGTCTATAACTGTCACTCATGCTTTGAAACTAACTGCACTTTCCTGGTGGTGGCTAGGAATAAAGGCCCAGGCAGGTACCCAGTGATCTGCATGTTTAAGAAAGGAGGAAGAGGCTGCTCCTTTTCTGCCTCTTCCCTGAGCTGCTGCACCATCCTTTTCCCTGCTTCATTTTCCCTGCTGGCCAAGGAAAGCAACTCTGGTCCTCACCTATGTCACAGAATATTGGGAAACTTCTAGAACGTCTCTATGATTATATCAAAACCCCAGATCAGTTTTAAAAAGAAACCCTCAAGATAGAATGGGTGCTGCTAACCTACAGATAGGTTATTTGAAGAGGTAGAAATTATTTATTTAATGTGAGTAAATTACATTTAATCCTCACAACCACCATGGGAAATAAGTATTCTCACCCCCACTGTACAGATGAAGAAAATGAGGCTCAGAGAAATTGAGTGACATGCCCAAGTTTATACCGCTGATAAGTGGCAGAGCCAACATTTGAACTCATATTTAATTATAAAACCATTTTTAAATTCTTTACAATATTCCCAAGTAACATAAAAGAAGAAGTGGTGCTTCCCCTTCCTTCATATCCGGACCTTTCATAGACCAGATAGATGCAATCCATCCACAAGACACCATATCCCGGACAATGCAGGGCTGTCGGTGGGAGAGCTCTTACTGCATCCAGGCCCTCATTCATCTGTGCAGAGAGGAGTTAGGAGAGCACAGACACTGCCTTTCAAAGACAGAGCTACTTCAATCCCATTTTATTCTTGATCGTGACCAGGGATGGTGCCTCCTGACTTTCTCCTGTGTCTTTATGTCTCTGGAAGAGAATGTTTGCAGGGGCTGTTGGTGGTGCCCCAGCCTCTGCCCTCAGACAGCTAGCTTCCTGAGCTGCTCAGGGCTCCGTGCCTTCCCCCTGATTCGAGTGATTTCCGGCCACTGCTGGCCTGAGAACTTGCACTGTTCTGTAATTCTTGCTGCTGCAGTTGTCAGTCTCTACATCTGTGGGCACCCATGGTGTGGGGGAGCTTAAATTAGGCAGAGACTTGCTTCTATCAGCACCACCCGCCTCTGCCAGCCCCAGCAGCTGCACCATCCACTCCCCAACTGGCTGGGGCCCCTTTCCAGCCGAAGGCAAGCTTCTCACTGGGAAACCTCTGCCTCAGCCGCCCCTGCTCGCTGACCGGGGGCTGACGGGCTGCTCTGTTCACAGAGGACACCCAGGCTACGCGAGGCTAATTAACCCCCCGAGGTAATTATGCTGTAATTGATTTTCCCAGTGAACATATCAGCAGGCATCAGAGGCCCCAATCTCCTGCTGGTACTTTTCAAGTCAAGGCTGTTGTGAAATGAAGGAGCATCTTTGGAGAGAGACAAATCCATGCTGTGTCCCAAGCCACTCGGGGGAGGTCACTCTGAACAGGACATGGGGGAGGGAGCATCCAGGCCTGGAATGTTGTATTCATGATTATCTGGAATATTTTCTTTCATTTCATTATTTTCATTTCAATATTTTTTTTCTTTTCATTTTCTCCTACCCCTACCCCATCCTCCTTTCCCTGTGAAAGTCATTGTCTCTTTCTTTAACTTTTCATTCTTGAAATAATTTTAGACTTATAAAAAGGTACAAAAATAGTACAAAGAACTTTCATATACCCTTCACCCAGATTTCCAAAGTTAACATCTTACATAACCACAGTATAATTATCAAAATCAGGAAATTAGCATGGATACAATAATACCATCTAATAAACGTGCCTTATTAATATTCTGCCAATTGTCCCACCGATGTCCTTTTTCTGGTCTAGGATCCAATCCAGGATCCCATGTGGCATTCTATTGTCATGTCTCCTTAGTCTTTTAATCCTCAGTCTTTTTTTGTCTTTTATGACTTTGGTACTGTTGAGAAGTACAGGCTAGTTATTTTGTAGAATGTCCCTCAATTTGGATTTGTCTAATGCTTCCTCATGATCAAATTCAGGTTACATATTACTGTGGCAAAAGTACCAAAAATACCTGTATGGTACCTATCAACAGGGCACCTGACACAACTTGAAGGGGATCTCAGAAGCCGAATCTGGGCAATTTGAGCAAGAACATAAAAATTGATAGCCGTGGATTTCACCAATAGAATAAGAATCCATGGTTCTTCCTGAAAAAAAGAAACAAACAAGTAAATAAATAATGGGGGGACAGCTGCAGTGGCTCACACCTGTAATCCCAGTTCTTTGGGGAGCAGAAGCTGAGAGGATTGCTTGAAGCCAGGAGTTCAAGAACAGCCTGGGCAACATAGCAGAATCCTGATCTCTAAAAAATAATAATAATAATTCTAAATTTTGCTGGGTGTAGTGGTGCATGCCTGTGGTGCTAGCTACTCGGGAGACTGGGGTGGGAGGATCACTTGATTCCAGAAGTCCGAGGCTACAGTGAACTATGATCATGCCATTGCACTCCAGCCTGGGCAACAGAGCAAAACCCTGTCTCTTTTTTAACTTTTTTTTTTTTTTTTTTTGAGACAGGGTCTCACTCTGTCGCCCAGGCTGGACTGCAGTGGCGCAATCTTGGCTCACTGCAACCTCCACCTCCTGGGTTCAAATAATTCTCACTCCTCAGCCTCCTGAGTAGCTGGGACAACAGGCATGCACCACCACGCCTGGCTAATTTTTGTATTTTTAGTAAAGGTGGAGTTTGCCATGTTGGCCAGGCTGGTCTCAAACTCCTGACCTCAAGTGATCCGCCCACCTTGGCCTCCCAAAGTGCTGGGATTACAGGCTTGAGTCACCATGCCTGGCCAAGACCCTATCTCTAAATAAATAAATAGAGAGAAAAGCTCTTCTTTACACTAGATTCCAACTAAAAAATGTAGAAGTAATTACGGAAATAGAAATCACCATTTGGCACAGTACACAAGTAATAATTGTTTCAGGCAAAGAATGGTCAATGAACACTAAAATTAGTAGATGAAAGTATGATGAGAAATAGGATATTTACATAACCTTAAGCTACCTTCCCATAAGATACTTGTTAATTATGACAAGAACAATAGTGACTGGGCAGTGAAGAAACGTGGTAGACCTCACCTAAACCAATTGATGAAAGTAAACAAAGCCAGTAATGGGAAAAATCAACCTCATGTACCTTTCAATAGAATGCTCTGAGAAGGACACAACCTCATTTCTATGGTGTTTTTGGCAAGAATATGTAATTTGCTAAAAGCAACCTTTAAGGAGATTTTCTTTTCTTATTATTTTTTTTTTTTTGAGACAGAGTCTCACTCTATCGCCCAGGCTGAAGTGCAGTGGTGTGATCTTGGCTCACTACAACCCCCGCCTCCGGGTTCAAGGGATTCTCCTGCCTCAGCCTTCCGAGTAGCTGGTACTACAGGCACGTGCCACCACGCCCAGCTAATTTTTGTATTTTTGCTGGAGACAGGGTTTCACTATGTTGGCCAGGCTTGTCTCAAACTCCTGACCTCAGGTGATCCGCCCACCTCAACTTCCCAAAGTGCTGGATTTATAGGCATGAGCCACCATGCCCGGCCAACTCATTTTCTTTACTTCAGCTTTCTTGGCTAATCCCTTTGCACTGGCATAGATGTTTTCCCCAAACCTCTGAATCATCGGACTTCCATGAGGCCCATACCCTTTGATGCAGACCTCCTTGTCCCCAGCCTTCATCTTCAGAATGGGTGTCCTCCTTAGTGCAGCCACTCTGTGCAGTAAATAGAAGCCATTTACTACAAAGATCCTTCTTGAAGGATGAAAAGAGAAGGATTCTAAGATGGCCTGTGATGGCAGTTGGGGGTGGCAGAATCTCCAGTCCTGGAAATAAGTGGAAGCTGGAATGGATGCTGTCCTTCCTGGGACAGCAGAGAAATAAATGAGATGATCTCAAAGGAGTTCTACGTTAGAAAAAGAAGTGGGCTCACGCATAGTTAGATAAACAGCTGTGTTATTCCTTAACCCCTCCTTACCCCATCTTCTCCATGGCAACCAGGCCCACCCGAGGGACCCATCTTTTATGGCAGCTTCATGTAGAACAAGTTGTACAGGCTATTGAATTTCACAGTTTGCATAAACTTCAGGTTAGGACCCCCTCAGGACTTACCTTCTGCTCCTCAGCCAGCTCGTGGTGTGATAATGATGCTGTCCCCCATGGGAGGCCTCCTGAGCTGCTCCCATTTCCAGCTGTCATCGTGGGTGTCTGTGCACGTGTCACCTGTTCAACCCTAGGAACAGGAGACGTGCAGAGGATTGGAAAGCCCATGAGATGGCTGGCCCGCCACGTTTCCGTTCCCCCAGCCTATGCTTCAGGACCTGCTGGGACCTCAAAGAGGAGGGTGTTAGGAGCCACAGACTGGAAAGGAAGGCCCAGAGAAAAACATTTCTTAAGGGGCCATGAGTAGGCAGGATCCAGCAGAAAAGGAAGAGACTGAATATTTTCTCAGGAAGATAAACTCAGGGAGGGTAAAGGGATTTTGGAGCTCACATAACAGAGGTCTTCTTCACTCCAAGCGAGTGTATCAGTTTCCTAGGGCTGCCCTAGCAAAGAACCACAAACAGGTGGCTTAAACAACCTGAATATATTTGGAGGTCTGAACTTCAAGATCAAGGTGTCAGCAGCGTGGGTTCCTTCTGAGCGCTGTGAGGGGGAATCTGTTCCAGGTCTCTTTCCTGGCTTCTGGTGGTTGCTGGGAATCTTTGCTGTTCCTTGGCTTGTAGAAGCATCAACCTGACCTCTGCCTTCATGTCCACATGGCATTCTATCTCTGTGTGTGTGTCTGTCTCCCTATTTTTTTTTTTTAAATAAAGACCCTGTCATATTGGATTAGTGCCCACTCTAATTATCTCATTTTAATACGATTACCTCTTTAAAGACCCTATATCCAAAGAAGGTGCCATTCTAAGGCACTGAATTAGGTCTTCACCATATGAATTTTGAGGAGACAAGAGTCAAACCATAAGAGTGAGCATTCTGATCAGAGGGGGGAGATGCCACCATTCCAAATATGTTAATTCACTCATTAAATGAATATTTAATTAATGACTACTGTATGCCATGAACTATGCTGGGCTTGGAAGTTGTCTGTCACATGTATATGTGACTCCTGGTTAAGGAGGCTAGGTTATGCAGCCTCTTCCAATGTAGCCCCAGCCTATGCTTGAACATTGGCCACCTGGAAGAGGCTGGAAACTGACTGCCCTGCAGGCCATTGTGCTTCCTCCAAAAGGCCTAGGGCAGACTTCTAATCTCCACCCTCTGCAGTTGTGTCCTGTGTAGAAGGACTGAAGCAGGGATACAGGTCTTCTGTTAATGAGGACACTAACCTCAGGACCTCAGGCAAGGGACATGAGCAGACCAGCCAACATTCTAATTCTGGGAGTCTTCATGATAATTGCTTCTCTTTAATAAGACTCTCCCATGTGCCAGGCTCTGAGCCTACTCCTTCAAACAACCCTGCAAGTTGGCTATTATTATCTTCACTTAAGAGTTGGGGAAACAGTTCTTAGAGAAGTAAAGAATTAGCCCAGTGTCACACACACATCTGGTTAGTGGCAGAGCAGAAGGCCGACTTCCTCCACCACACCATGGTGAGGGGGATGGAGGGCTATTCCTTGGCTATACATTTCCCCACCTCATCCCACCCCAAGAGTACCTAAAATGTCTCTGCGTGCAGGATCAGAATCCTCTTGGAACTTACCAAGAGATGCCAGATAAATTGGGAACATTGGCTACCCTTTGTACTGAGCCTTAAAGTAATCTTCACCTAACTGTCTTCCTAAATGTAATGAGGTCCACACTTACTCCTATGAGTGGGAGGAAAAACAAGAAGGGGATATTGGGGCATGTGAGCTTGGGGCAGTCATTTCTTGCCTTTTGGGGGAAGCATTATTCTAACCTCTACCCCAGTTATTTCTTGAAGCTATCACACTCAGTTGGGTTGTTTTTTTGGCTATGCCCACCAATGAGATGGCCATTAAGCTAAAGTGAAAGCTGGATTCCCTGGCCTGGCAGCTCTGACCTCTCAAGCATCTCAGCCTAATGGGAGAGGCCAGACAATGGGGCCCAGGTAGTTCACACTTGCAGGCAAGAACAGAGATCAGGGTGAAGCCAAGGCAAATCAGGCTTAAGATGCAGGAGATGAACACCAGAGTTGGTGTGACCAGGAACCCACCACCCTTAAGATGTGAAAGAACATGACTGTGTGTTCCTGAAGTCACCTGGCACATTGCACCATAAGGCCACATTGATGCCAGGCAGTGGGGGTGTTAGTTTAACAGCTGTTTCTCCAATGACCACCATGTAGCTTTTACTTTGTGAATTTTTCAGCCTCAGTAACTTCTCCAACACCTCCCTAGTCCATGCTTAGGGAATATAAATTCTCTTTAACATTATCTTACGCATCTTAGGTACGTGTAACTGAGAAAGAAAATCAATTATAGAAAACCATGTACACTGGCCTCCAAAACCAAGCTCAAATAATTTTTGATACCTTAATAGTTTGAGATGATCCATCACTCCTGCTGGCTCCTGTTCTCCACTTTCACAAATAATTTAAAGTAGATTGGTTTCGCCTAGATTCTCTCAGATGCAAATGCATTTGTGAAACTGTTTGGGAAACTGTGGGACATTTAAAAGTATTTATCTGCAAGGCTGCACCAAATCTCTGCAGGAAAGGCCAAAAGCCACCTGCCCAGGACCAGAGTGACTCACTGCAAAGTCCCCCACAAATAAATAAATAAGTCAGCCAGCTTTCCTGAGAAACAAGCCGGCACTCTGATCTTTCGTTCATTTATTTGCAGGCCTCATTAATATAACATCACTGCAACAAACAGCTAACAGGGGATGGTGTCAGGATGAATAATGGAGTTACTCTGCTGAGATAACAGTTAGGTTTTGAATGTACTATCAGCTAAGACAGAGCCAGCAAGGATTCACGCCGGGCAGGAGAGCTGGCACCGCCAATGCCATAGATTCCTACAGAGCTCGTCAGCTGGGCTCTAGCCTACTGTGAGGAGTGCAGACACAGGCACACACACACAGACACACACACATACACTTCAAGTGGAAAAGAATGCCACAATTTGCTTTCTCAGACCCAGCATCCAGGTGTCTTTAGAAGCCAGGAGGGAATGAAAATGTGCAGCCACGAAGTTGGCATCACTGCCCTGTAAAGTCAAAGGAGTGAGAGGATTAGGAAAGAGAGGAGAAGCTGTCAACACATCCTCGACTTGTCCTCACTCGTTGGTCCTGATTAGGGGGCTCCTCAGGGCAGAACCCTCCTGAAATCCCAATCTCAGACACAAAAGCTTTTAATACAGAGTATGAACATCCGCTGAGGATGCTGATGGGACTGAGACCATTCTGGAGTGGCTTCTTCGGCACCTCTTCTCCTTCTGGGAGGCTCTGACATTAGTTTCTCCTGTATCCTTTTACAAATCCAGTGTTGGGGACTGATCACCTGCTGGAAACCATGGTGAGAGCTGTGCAGGCCCATAGAGGGGCAGCCAATGCCACGCTGGGCAATGTCCCCACCAACCACCTCCCCTCCTCGAGTCAGCCTGCCTGCCCCTGCCCTGAGTCCCCACCAAGAACAATATGCAGAGGCTCCACCTGCACAGGACGCTCGTGAAAACAAAGCTACTTTTCCTTTGGACCTCAGCTAACCCAGCTTCCCTCTGGATTTCTTCATCATAAAACAGTCATGAGAAAAATCATAGCTAACTTTCACTGAATGCTTAGCTTACACTTAGCTCAGCACCCATATATCATCTCATTTCGACCTCAAAGCAACTGTTATGAAATAGAAGTTAGTATTGTCATTAGACCCATTTTACAGATGAGAACACTGAAGCACTATGAGGTCTGATAACTTTCTTGAAGTGACATTGAGAATAAGTTTTAGCACTGAAATTTGACCTGCAGCTAGCTACTTGACTCAAGAGCCCCTGTGTTTGACCAGTGTCAAACCAGTCCTTCATCTCTTTCCTGAGCTCACTTGGACAAATTAGAACTGTCAATCTGCAGAGCCAGAGGAGAGAAAGGAGCTGGCACCTAGCTCTTCCTCAAGCCTGCTGCAGAAATGGGAAGAAAGCCAGTAGTCCCCAATCCCAGCATTGTTTGGGGAGACTAGACATGCACAGGAAGAGACAAAGGGGCAAGGCCAAGAGGGGAGTGTGGATATTGCCTGGGTGAGGTCAGAGAGGAGTGGGGATGGATGCTGAGAAGTTCAGGGAGCCAGAGAGAGCAGGAGTAAAGGCAGTGACCAGCAAGGCCAACTCCAGAGCTCCTTGGAAAGCAGCAAGGCATGGCCTTAGCCATGTCTTAAGTCCTGGCTATGCACTTCTTGATCTGTACATCTTAAGCCTGCTGCAGAGATGGGAAGAAAGGGAAAGGGGCTGGAGTGCCTAAGCAGACAGAAGCGAAGAGCAGGCCAGGGCATGCATTCTCATGGTGGTTGACCAAGGATGGGGGTGTCCCCTGGGGCAGTGCTGTGTAAGGCAAAAAGCAGCGGTTAGATAAACCTGGCTGAGCTCTGCCCCACTCACTGTGGAACCTTCAAGAAGTTACTTAACCTCTCTGGGACACTATTTCTCATCCGAAAAATGGGAATGATAATAACACCTCACAGCTTGTTTTGAGCGCTTAGTGGGATAAAATATGTAAAGCCCCTGGCACAATTCCTTACTCATTATAAGCACTTAACAAACGTGAAAGCAGCAGCCATCATTCTCAGAATCTTCAATACCTTGGAGCTGAAGCCCTGCTTCTGGCTTCTTTCCCGCTATCTCTATCAGCCTGGAGATATAACCAGAGGAAGATAGGGTCTCTAGAACGGGAGCTGGGCTTTGTGAAGCTCCCACCAAGCTCCTCTGCCCCGATAAGCCCCTACTCTGAAGTTGGCCCCAACCCTGCCCTGACAAGGCTCTGCCTGAGGCTGAACCTAGGAACAGCCCACCTGAGCACTCACTCCCCAGGCTGCCAAGCCCCTGGGCCTTCCAGCGCCTCCCCAGTGCAGCCCTTCGCATCTCCCCAGCTGTAATTAATTGGCTGCATCTGCTCTCACCCTTGGGCTGCTTTGTGGCACAGTTCCCTCCAAACTGTTCAATTAGTGGCTGCAAGAATGAGGTCGGGTGCAGCATCACCGCGGCTGCTTTCCAGGTCATGGCACCCACGGAGGAAAACAAACATGACAGGGTCTGGCAGGAATACAGATTTAGCTGTGGTGCCCTGGCGCTCTCCTGGGTTCAGTTGGGCTGTGCAGCTGTCAAGGTGGGGTCTGAGCAGGTGGAGAAGTGACTCCCTAAACCAGAAGTTCCTGGAAGCTTTGAGAGGGCCTCAGCAGAAGATAGGAATCTGCTACTTAGTCCCCTGCCATCGTCATATGTGCTATGACCTAGGCATGCCTGCCTAATCCCACATCCTGCTGACCTAGTCTTCCTGGCTTAAGATGTACAGATCAAGAAGTGCATGGCCAGGACTTAAACTAGCCACCTTTATACCTGGGCGTGGTCACTGACTGCTCCTGGGGCAGGGTTTAGGGCTGCTAGCCTGAGCTCTCTACCCTAAAGTGTTTCCCTTGTTTTCCTTCTGAATCCTGCAAACGATATACACACTTTTTATTCTACAACCAGTCAATAGATATCAGTGCTCTTAAGGCCAAGTAATAACACAACTTAAAAGTCCCATTAAGACGCAAATACAGCTTTCCGTACTTGCTGTATACAAATACAGAAAGGGAGGAGGGAACAGCTGAATGAAAGGTGCCTAAAGTGGGGGAAAGAACCCCAGGGAGGAAAACACAAAAGAACATGGGAAAGATACCAAATGTTTATCCTCCACTGGGTTTTGCCCAGGGCCAGCCTGGTTAATGGCGTGTGTGACAAGCAAAGGAAGTCATCTTCGCAGGCCCTCCTTACTGCACATCAATCAATCAGGCCTTTGCTGAAGGCACGACCCGAGTGCGGGTCACTACACTCTCAAAAGATGCATAGAAATCCGAGAGTCCACAGAAAAGCATCCAAAATGATCAAAGGGTTTAGAAACCAAGATCTTCGGTGAAAAGGCTGGAAGGACTGCAGAAGCAAAGGCCAGGGGTGACTTAATTGCTGTCTTCAGTAGCTAAAAGATGTTTGATGAGGAGGCAGCTGTTCAGTCCTCCATTCGATGAGGAATCAAACCAGAAATTGGCTTAAATTAAAGCAAGGGAGATTGCAGGAAGAGCTGTTTAATGATCCTGATGTTAAAATACTACATCACTCTCAAGCAACAGTTAGGTACCTCCACTCATCCAGTCATCATTAAAGAATACAGTCTGTTCTAGTGTCTGGTTGAGACCAGCATTTCCTTTTAACAGAGAATTGGGGATATTTATTGACAGTTACTCGTTCCAGGCAGCGTGCTAAGGATTAGTTTCCTAAGAAAAGCTAGATAGTCCCTTGTCCCAAGATAGTTATCGTCTTATTGAGGGAATAAGCAGTTACAATGCAGTGTGGCAATTGTGGTCCTGGAGGTGTTCATAGAAGGAAGTGGGAGGGTAGAAGAAGGGGCTAGTAAATCTACTAAGGGAGTCCAGGGAGGCCTCCCTGAGGAGGCATCTTTTGAGTAGAGACTTGAGGATGGGTAGGCATTTGTCAGTGGACATGCTTGACCAGCACAGGGAACAGCATGTCAAATGCATAGAGGCTTTACACCCTATAAAGCTATAGCTGTGGGGGCCCTTGAGCTCTCCCAGCGAGCACATGTACAGTCATGCATCGCTTAACCATGGGGATACATTCTGACAAATGTGTCATTAGACGATTTCATCCTTGTGTGAACATCATGGCATGTATTTACACAAACCTAGACAGTGTACCCTACTACACACCTAGGCTGCAAACCTGTACTGCATGTGACTGGTCCTGAACACCATGGGCGATTGTAACACAATGGTAAGTACTTGTGTATCTAAACATAAAAATGGGATGGTAAAAATATGATATAAAAGATTAAAAATGGTACGCCATATAGGGTATTTACCATGAATGGAGCTTGCAGGACTGGAAGTTGCTCTGGGTGAGTTCAGTGAGTGGTGAGTGAATGTGAAGGCCTAGGACGTTACTGTACACTACCATAGACTATAAACACAGTATGCACTTAGGCTACACTAAATTCATTAAAAAATTGTTTCCTTCTTTAATTATAAATTAACCTTAGTTATTATAACTTTTTTTTTTTTTTTTGAGACGGAGTTCCACTCTTGTTGCCCAAGCTGGAGTGCAATGGTGCGATCTCGGCTCACTGCAACCTCTGTCTCCCGGCTTCAAGTGATTCTCCTGCCTCAGCCTCCCGAGTAGCTGGGATTACAGGCATGCAACACCAAGCCTGGCTAATTTTGGATTTTTAATAGAGACAGCGTTTCCCCATGTTGCTCAGGCTGGTCTCAAACTCCCGAACTCAGGTGATCCGCCTGCCTCGGCCTCCCAAAGTGCTGGGATTACAGGCATGAGCCACTGCGCCCGGCCAGTTACTATAACTTTTTACTTTATAGACTTAATTTTTTAACCTTTTGACTCTTTGTAATAACACTTACCTTAAAACACATACATTGTACAGCTGTACAAAAATATTTTCTTTCTTTATATCCTTATTCTATAATATTTTTTCTATTTTTGAAATTCACTTTTTTACTTTTTAAATTTGTTTTGTTAAAGACTAAGACACAAAGACACACATCAGCCTAGGCCTACCCAGGGTCAGGATCATCCATATCACTGTCTTCCACCTCCTTATCTTGTCCCACTGTGAGGTCTTCAGGGGCAATAGCATGCATAGAGCTGTCGTCTCCTATGATGACAATGCCTTCTTCTGGAATCCCTCCTGAAGGTCCTCCCTGAGGCTGTTTTCCAGTTAGCTTTTTTTAAATAAGTAGAAGGAGTACACTCTAAAATAACAATAAAAAATATAGTGAGTACATAAACCAATAACCTAGTCATTTAGCATCATTATCAAGTATTATGTGCTGTACATAATTGTATATGCTAGGCTTTCCTATGACTTATGACTGCCACAATGCCACAAGGTGGTAGGAATTTTTCAGCTCCATTATGATCTTAAAGAACCATCGTCGTATATATGGTCCGTCATTGACCAAAACGTCAATATGCAGCACAAGACTGTAGTCCATAAGAGGACAGGGCCAGGACTCTGGGGGTCCCAAGTGTGAGGGGCGGGCAGAGGAGGGGCACACAGGCAGTGCCAGCACAGCACAGAGGGGAAAGCCTCAGTGACCCCTTTCGCCCCAACCCAACAGCAGCAGGCTGCTTCTAGGATATTCTTTCTCCAATCCCCTCCTTCTAGCTCTCACTTCTGAGGTCCACATGGGGAGAATTCAGATAGACTTCTAGTCCACAGTATAATATGGGGAGAAAAGCTTGGGGCTGAAATGAGTCAGTATCCAAAGATCTTCCCTGCTGATTTGACAGGTTTCACTTCCCTTCCCTCTCTCTCCACATCCCCACCACACACACACTCACTCACACACACACACACATACACCCCCCAAACTGTCAAATCATTTGTTTGTGTGGGTGTCTCATTCAGAAGTACTTCCCTGAAAGCATTAATTGAGTTCATTGTGGAATGCTGCACCTACCCCAGAATGGCTGATAGCCAGGGAAAGAAGAAATGGCCACAAGGGAGGGAGGAAAGAATAAAGAACATCTTGTACAGGGCCAGTGTTCTTCCAAACTTATTTTGGGTGAAAGGATGATGTCTCGCTCTGAATCTGCTTCTGTGCAGGGCCCAGAACTCACCAAAGCCAGGGCCCTGCTCTGGCGGCATCACTACTCCCTGCCCAAGCTCAGGCTTCGGGCATTCTCCAAACGGCCCATGAGCAGCTCTTTGTACCCCGGGTCACCCCAGTGTCTGTGATGCGCTCCCTCATCCATGTGCTGCCCTTCCAGACGGATAGGAAGACTTCCATCATCTCTAACCCTGCCAATTCTAACATCCCATGTTTTAGTCATCTAGGAAGACAGAGGTGCAGGGAAACACAGGGAAGGAGATTACCAATTATCAAGACCTACTCTCTAAACCAGCATACTAAGAACTCTCCAGATGTTATCTCACTTAATCTTCACATCATCCCTGTGAGGCAAGCATTATTATCTGTTTTTGAATGAGGATATTGAGATTCAAGGTCACATAACTTGTAGGTGTCAGAGCTGGTATTTAAATTCAGGTCTGTCTGATTCCAGAGGTTACTCTCTTCCTTCTGCAGACACTGTCCCAGCATCAGATGGTCTTTCTTCCCTATCCGACTGTAGCCAGCAGCATAGAGCTATCTGAAACTGACCAAGACATGGATCTGCCTAACATGCTGGCCATACTTTGGTTTCCCTTCTGTCATTGGGGCACTCTGTATGACTCCACCGCAGCCTCTCATCCTCACCTCTGTGGGAGACAAGCTCTCCCCTCCCCTGCAGCCTCTCAGCTCCTTCCAGATCTAGAAGGACTTGCTTAAAGTCCTGCAAGCAGTAGCTGGGGATTCAGCCAAATTGCCCCTCTATAGATCCATGTAGAAAGGCCAGACTTGGCTTCCAGGAGAGCCAACTTTGTGGAATGCAACCCTGGGTGCCCTGCAATCAAAAGCTGCTTTTAAGAGAGAGCCCTGGGGACACAGTCTCTGTGTGTGTTGGGCGGGGCTGGTGGGGGTCGGGGGATTGGGACCCTGCAGCTTCCTGGTCTAAGGTGGTGTCCTGCAAGATCCTGCTCACTCCCGCTCTGGAGAAGAAATTCTTTGTCACCAAGCCTCCCCTCCCTGGCCATCTCCGAATCCTTGATCCTAAGAAGAAATACAGAAGGCAGGATGCAGGGTCCTTGCTTCCCGGGCCCAACACAGAGATGGCATGGCCCTTAGACTCATTCTCAGCTGCCTGGAAGGCTTACAGAAGCTGCCTTCTACAGGGTGCCTCTCTCTGTTCCTTTGCACTCTGCACACAGACCTCCACCTTGAGCCACTCTGATTTTTAAGCTGGAGGTGAATGGGTAACATGTCCAAAGGCTCAGGGATTTTTAAACAGCGTGATGTAGAAAGGAACCACCGATAGGGCAGGGCATGAAGGATGTGCTATTGAATGGAAAGTGTGGCAGAAGGGGTAAAAGGGATCAGAACCAGAAAGACCACACCTGCCAGGCCAGCCTTAGGAATTAGGGACTTTGCCTTGGCAATGGTCAGAGCCATGGAAGGTTTTTAGAGCAAGTGACTAGTAACCTGGTCAAGTATGTGTTCATGAAGGTCACCCTGGCAGCTACTGGAAAGTAGATTTACATGCAAACCCTTGGGGTTAGTGTGGGTAGGAGATGATGGAGTCCTCCTGAACACCTACTCTGGAACACATGGACTCAAAAGACACCTGGGAGTGAGAACTGATAGGGCCTGGCGACCTTCTTTATTATTTGTGGTAGATGGGAGAAAGAAACAGTTGAAGGTGCTTACAGAATTCCTGGCTGGGTGCATGGTGAGTCCATTAACCTTGAAAGAGGATCTGGGAGGGTAATTGGCTTGGGGGTGGGAGGAGGAAAAATTAAGAGTTCGTTTTTAGACGTGGTGAAATGTGAGGCGCCTGAGGGAGATACATGGGGAAGTGGAGATGCCCAGTAGCAATTGGATATATGGCTGTGGAGCTCAGGAGAGGGGCCTGCGCCAACCTTATGGATTTGGAAGTCATCAGTAATGGAGGCGTTGGGAATCCACTTGCAAATCAAATAATCACCACTTCATCTATGTTTTGGAAATTCAGGCTTTTACACGTCAGTTTTGCTTTAAGCAAGGAAGCTATAAGCTGTGTCTCCTGTAAGCCCCAGAGCATGATAGTTGCTTAGTTGTCTCCTGAACTCCCTTGCCACCTACCCTGGGTGCTGGCAGCATGGTACACTGCATAGAAAGAAGACCCCCATAAAGACCCTACACTCCCCAGACACTTTCCAAGCCCTGTGGACCTGGTTTAATGACCCACAAGGACACTCATTCTCCCGGCTTGGATTCCCCCAGCTGCTAGCTGGAACTACCCATCTCACTTGTATCTTCATGCCAAGATTATAATGCTTGCCAATAATTTACCCAAAAAAAGTCTTCTTCTCTAAACAATATAAGCTGAATTATGCCTCTGAGCAGCTCTGTGCTAACAAATAGACCCTACAGCACCCCAGTGCCCACGACCATGTGTCTGCCACTGATCCTTGAATGTTGGAAGGGAAACACTACAGTGATTTACCAGCAGGAGGAAGCTACCCCGTGGAACCTGCCAGTGCCTCTGAGGATCCACAATGCGGTCCCCACATGCTACCTGCAAGACAGAAATATTTTTAGGCTTTCCAGAAAGATTTCATTTCACAGTTTTTCTGAAAGGTTGTAATTAACTGCAGCGAGCAAAAGAATGTTTTTTAAGAAATAAAAGTAGGGGAAGGAGAGGTTTTGTCAGTTCCTTTGGGTAGGTGGGTTCATGCCATCCAGGTGGCTAGGGAAGGGGATGGAGGGGCTGGTGAAGCTCATTCCAAGTGGATTAAAAGAGAACCAGGAACTAAAAGCAAATTGTCTCCTGCTGATGCTCTCCTGCAGCAGGTAAGGAAGCAGCCCTTTCCATTTCTCATTAACAAGGGTTCTTTTCCCAGAGCCCAGGAGTCCCAGGTCCCTGAGGAAACTGTGCCAGGGGAGACTGGAACAGCCAGGGTGGATTATTGTTGCATATTTTTAGAGTGCAGGGACAGATGAGCTATAGTGGCTGTCAGTTCCTCCTGCCAGCTCCTTCCTCTCCAAGTTGTCCTTCCTTCTCCCACCCTCACCCCCAGCATACAGAGACACCTCTGAGCCCCCTTGACTATATCTCCCTTGATTCATTTCATGTGTGCTGTTTATTTTTATTCATAAGGGGGATATTTTATTTTCAGACAAGGGAGTCAGAGCCATAGACAAGGTGACTTGGATAAAATAAGCCTCCAGATAAGAGCATTCAGGGCCTGGATGGGACAGAGGGAAGGAGGCAGCACCATCTTTGGCCTACGGAGGATAGACAGGCAGGAGGTCTGGGTTCAAGTCCCGGCTCTGCAGCCAACTTGCCGAGAGACCGGGAGTCTGAACAGCATATCAGCTGGGCAGTGAGGGAAGGAGGCATCTTTTCTCTGCTCACTATCACTTGGTGGTTGGTGGCTGAATTGGCAGCACAATTCATGGTGCCCACATCACAGGAAGGGAGCAGTGCACCTGCCGAGAAGCCAGGAGATAAGAAGGGTCTCCAGATCACTCTACAGCATGCTCACCTGTACTCATCCATCATCTCCACCTGAGGGTACGCTGACCCTCCCACCCCATCGGACACTCCACCAGCACATACAGGGTCAAGAGGGAGACTGTCCAGAAGTGTCCAAAAACAGAGAGGCTGTGGCTCTGCCCAGGTATCCTCTTCTGGGAGATTCTAGAGGACGCTCGATCTTCATCAAGTCCCCTTTTTTTTTGCTCCTTCCTTCATCCATCCTGCCCTCCCTATGGTGTAGTAAAAAGAACACTGGACCTTTTTACAACTGTGTATACAAGTTGTTCAAAGCTTTGGATATATCCCTGACTTCTCTGGGTCTCATTCGTCTTGCTGTAAAAAGTAAGTATCTTAGAATAAGATACTCTCAGATCCCTTCCAGTTACGAAATTCTGTGTTCCTCTGCTATCTAGGATTGAGTTCACTTCGAGTTATTTTTCCTACTTCAGATAACTATTGGCCACAAAGTGTGAACTTACTCACTGGGATCTGTTGGATCCCAAAGAGCTACATTTTTCCAAGAGCCTGGTCTGTTCCCAGATAGAACTTTATTACATCTTGAGAGACCTGGATTCTGCTATTCTGTTTCCAGTGTTTGGGGTCTGAATTAAGGAATGAATAAATAAGCAATCCTTGCCAACAGGAAGCCAGCAAAGATTTGGAAAATCCTAAAGTTATTTCTTCTTTGTCCTAGCATGTGTCATAGGATGTTTTTTGCAGAACAGTGTCAAGTGCACTTTCCATCTTTGATCTTCTCCCCTGCAGCCACACCTAGTCTCTACTCCCCACACTCCCACTGCTTTCCCTCTGTATCTCTTATCCGTGTATACCCCAAATCAGTGGTATTCATGAACTGCCTTTATCTCATCCTCGACTCTAAGTTTCTTGAGGCCAAATTTCCTGTCATATTCATCATTGTACCCCCAACAGGCTGTAGCACACAGCAGGGGCAATAATAACACTGTCACAATTACAAAGCCCTCTGGTTTCCAAAGTGCTCTCAAGCACACCTTCTGTTTGGTGCTTCCAGACTCCCTTTGAGGTTGGCAGAAATGATTATACCCCCTTCACAACTAAGAAAGCTGAAGTTCAGAGAGATTACGTGACTGATCGCAATCAGGCAACTAGTGAATTAGAGACATGTCTCAAACCATGGTTTTCTGCCTTGAGTCTAGTATTCTTTCTGATAATTTTTTAAATAAGTAGATGAATGAATGACTGACTTAAAGAACCGAGGAAGCAGTGTAAAACAGAACATGATGTCAAGATCCGAGATAAGCTAAAAAGTGGACAAAACGCACTCACTCACCAGAATTCCTGGTGGAGGAATTTAAGAACCTATGGAGGTTCTTAAACCTCCCTGGGGGAGGGGGAAGGGTGCTGCTGTTTCTGTTCCTGTGACCAAACCAAATTGCTAATCCCATTTCCCTCCTGCAGATTTTGACGGTGTCTGGACCGCCGGAAGGAGGGACGCGAGTGACCATCCATGGCGTGAACCTGGGTCTGGACTTCTCCGAGATCGCCCACCATGTGCAGGTGGCTGGGGTGCCCTGCACGCCCCTCCCAGGGGAATACATCATCGCTGAGCAGTGAGTCCGCCCTGGCCAGCCCTTTTCCCATGGGAGCTTCAGAGTGGAGACTGGAGACTCTCCCCTCTCCCTTCCTGGGCCTTTTCCATGATTGATCTCCCATTACATTCTCCTCCCATGGACCTGCCCCAGAAGCCTCCCCAGGGCCCCCTCCTCCCTCACCTCCACCCTCAGGGGGTCTCATCCTGTTTGATTCCCTGTTCCCTGACTCTTCTGGCATCAGGGCTCCGGCCCTGACCGTCCCTCATTCAGTCTTTGCCTGCCCGCCAGTGTGACTGAGCATTTCCTCCTAGGTCTCCCCCAGCCCTTCCCCTGTCAGCCCCCATTGGAATGCATCCTGTATGGTGGGCTGCAGGCAACAATTTGTTTGGTGCGTGGGGCTCTGACAGCAGCTTAATCCGAGCAGGGCCTCCGCTGGAGCAAATTCATTTATTTCACTAAGGGAAATGTCAGCTGGAAATTAGAAAATAGGCATGTAGTTGCGGACAGGCAAACGGGGCTCCAGGAGTGACATATGTTCCAATTTGGGGTGTTCATTTGGCAGTGGTGGCTGCTGTGGAGTTGGTGGGCAGGAGGTGGGCACGAAGCTGGGGGTCAGAGGATGGAAAAAGGGAGGCTACCCCTCCAAAGGAGAAAGCGGGGGAGCAGCCAAATCATTCTGCATGATTTATCAGGGAAGTTGGGTCAAACCATTCTGATTCCACTGTGAACACAGCTCTGCAGGGGGTACTGGGAGCATGAGCAAGAGCATGACTTTGGGGCAGGGACTTCCTTCCCTTATCCTAACCCTCTGCCAGGTCAGGTTGTTTCCTCTGATCCCCCCCACCGGAGCCAGCCTTTAGTGGCAACCATAAAAATGACATCGCTTTATCTTCCATCAGCACTTTGCAGTTAACAGAGCACTTTCTCATCCACTATCTCATTTTTAATTGGTAAGGACTCTGAGAGGTAAATATTGTTATCATCATTCTGCAAAGCAGGAGAGAGCAAAGGACTCATGAGAAGTGAAATGACTTTCCCCAGTTCATTCAGGGCATAAGTGGCTGAGGCAGAATTAGACCTTGAGTCTCCTGACCCCTAATGCAGGGCTACTTCCCTTCCATAACAGTGATGGGGCACGACTCCTGGACAGGAGCAGTCTGAAATTCCACGAATCAGTGTGTAGCTCTGAGGCTTACAGGCCGTGATTCTCGCAGGGCCCAGAGAAGGGTCAGAGTCCAAAGGGGTGAATTCCCAGACTCTGAGGGCTGTGTGATGCCTGCCAGCCACAGCAGGGAGAAGAAAGAGCTGGCCTGATCTCTCAGATCCTTCAGGTCTGATCCTTCAATGACAGCCTTATTCCTGCAAGGAATGAGTCCTGGAGGAAAGGCTGGCTGGGCCTATAGGACAGAGATGAGGAAGATGGAAAAAGGGAAAGGAAACAAATAGTGCTTCTGAGCCAAAAAAGAGGTGAAAGCTGTTGTGGCAGGAGCCAGGGCACCCACAGAGGTCCTCCTGGCAGACCATCTTTACAGAGCCCCGCACCCTGCCAGACTAGGCAAGGTGCTCAGTTACACGACCCCAAATCCACCTCAACCTCAAGGACCTCCCTTGGGCCCCTGGACACAGACCTGTATCCAACTTGGTGAGATGCCACAGGAATCCAAAGGAAAGGGCTAGGGTATGGGGTGAGGGTGGGAGGTAAGGCTTTTAGCTGAGAAGTGCAAATTCCTGGGCAACTGGCCCTCAGAATCACATGAGGTTTGGAATGAAACCGTGTTTTAGACCTGCCTCCTCTACTGACCAGCCCCAAGACCTTAGCAAGCTGTTCAGTCTCTGTGACCTTCATTAGCCTAATGTGCTGCCCAAATGTAAGGAATTTCAGTGCTATTTATGAAAGGAAATGTACTGCACTCACCCCACACCCAGGGCCACGGGGAAGAAAGTGTCGAGAGAAGCTGCACGTGAGGCTGTGAAAGGAGCCTGGGGAGGGGAACAATCCCCATGCATTCCTGCAGAGGCTGGTGGTCGCCCCAGAAAACCACCACTTCAGGTATGGGGTAGGCAGAAGACAGAGAGCACACCCCATGCCTCGCTGGATGCAGCCCTGGTTTCCAGCTGTGCCAGGCTCATTACCACTCCCGAGGTTTCAGAGTTTGCTAACATCATTAAAGCCTCCATCCCGGGCAGTGAGCAGCAGGCACAATCGTTACAGATGTCTGTGAGAGATGAATTTGGCTAAAAGGACCCGGTGCAGAGTCCTGGGCGCGGGCAGGATTCGCCAGCACGGTAATGATTCACCATATGCTTGTGCTGCGCCATCTATCACTCAGCAATTAGGTTAATGTCGGTTAAAGGGCCCCGCTTAGTCCTGCAATCAGCACCCCACAGGTCTGTGGAGGGCTGGATGATTCAGTCACAGGAAGTTTCCTGGACCATGGGATGCATGTTGAGGCTGCAGCTCAGCCCCTCCTGGGACAGGGGCTCCACATGGAGCAGATTCCCCTTAGATCCTCAGGCTGCTTCCCTCTCATCTGCTGTACCTGTGAACTCAGCCATTGCGGGATGGATGTGAGATGTGTGTGTGCTTCCGCCCCAGGGAGCGAGGCACCATCTATGCAAGTCTATGGGAGGTGGTGTAGTGTGGGGCAAGGGTACTGGGTTGCATTCCAGGAGACTGGTGCTCAAGCCTTAGCTCAGCTGTGGATGAACCAGGTGACTTTGAGCAAGTCACTTTGCTCCCTGCTTCTCAAACATCTCATCTGGAAAACAGGTATTTAGGAATAGATGATTTCTACATTTGCTTTGGTGGTCCTCTAGATGTCCAAACCAGTAAATGGTATGCCCCATGGAATCTGCAGCTCCCATTGTAAAGATTATCTGTGGCACTAAGGTGCCTCCGGAAGCCCCCTGCCACCAGGAGGAGTCAGGTCTTCAGATGTCAAAGCTGGATGGCTGTTTGGTCCAACTTCCCATTTTATAAGGAGAGAATCTAGGCATCTCCAGCGATTGTCTCCTAACAATACATAGGGACCCCAGAGCCACCAGAGACACAGGGAGGAGACAGGGAAGACAAGAGGCCTCAAGAAATCAAACCACAAGAAATCAACCAACCTTGCTGACTTGCAAGGCTTGAAGGAGGTGGTGGTGCACACACCACTGCCTATGGTTGTCTACAACCAAGAAGGTAGAGGGGACAAGTGGTTAGCTCTCAGAACCTGAGGAACCCAGCTCAGCCTTTCTCACCACCCCTGCCAACAACCTCACCTCTACCATTGCTGCCATATCCATACTGTCCCTTCCTTGAAAGACATACAGAGCATCCCATTAAATCTATTGGCAGTAGAGGGGAGTGGTCAGAAGCATGAGCTCTGGAGTCGAGCTGACCTGGATTTGAATCAGGGCTCTGCCACTTACCAGAATTGTGGCCATAGATAAGTCACTTAGCATCCCTGAGCCTTAGTTTCATTGTCTGTACAATGGAGATAAGACCCGCTCTGTAGCAGAGCCTGAGGATGGCATGAGATCCTGTCTTGTAGAGTGCCTGGCAGAATCAGTAAACTGTAGTTCTTATTATTATTAAGGGCTAGAATTTGCTTTGGCATAATACTCCTTCCTCAATATAACCCTTTCCACTCCCTGCAGCTGCCCTAGCTTCTTCCTTTAACTCCCTATCTTCCTGAACTCAAAGAACAAGTGCCTGCAACAAATATTTTCAAGCCCTTTCCACCCTGGCCTGCAGGCACTGGGTCCCAGGAATGAAAGGGAAGAAGAGTTGAGGAGATTAGAGTTTGTCTGCAATGCTGCCTGATTTTCTTAGGACTCTCCAGTTCTTAGATCTTCCTGCCCAGACCCTTTTCTACAACCCACTGCTGACCACAGCCCTCTGCCCACTCATTCCACAGCTGAGAAGGGGGCTCGGCTGATGCCCGAGGAAAGAGACCTATGGCCAGCTCTGATTTCTCCCCAGTGCAGCCCCTGGACCCCTGCATCCTGCCTTTCCAACTACAGGTGCCCTTCCTTGCACACTTGAGTGGCATCCATCTCTCAGTCATCACTCTTCTCCTAGGTGCTTGAATATACTGCTTTTCTTTTGAAACATGAGCCCCAAGCAGGAAAATGTCCTAGAAGAGACAGTGTGCCAAGAGGCCCTGGCCCATCATTAGCTCCACACAGGGGCAGCTGACCAGGGCTGTTCCAGGCCTTCTCCTTTCCTACACAGACCCAGGGCCCAGGGAAGAACATTTCCATGCTGCCCGTGACCTTCACATGTTCTCTTTTTTCTTTTTTCCTTAACTTCAAGCCTGTGATGATTTCTTCCTCCTTTTCTTCTCTAAGATCACTCCAGCAGAGTGTCCGAGGGTGATGACTGAGTAACAAGCACACCCTCATTAGAAGAGAGGGAGAGAAACTTACCTACTCCCTCCTGTTCTCTTCCTTTGTCTTCCCCAGCACTGCCCACAATAGCTAGTTGATTCTCCCCTGGAGCTCCTTGAGCATGGTGGGCATCGTTTGCAGGATGTCAGGGACCTGAAACAGCAGCGGGTTGCCAGGGTCCGGGAAACAGGATGAGAGAGTCGTTAACCACACGCAGGTAGCAGCATGAAGATAACCACACAGTACCTTAAATTGAGCTTCTCGAATGCTCCCCTAATGGGGTTTCAGGAGACAGTTACGTGTAAAATATTAATTGATCATCACTATCATGTTTCCTTGGGTTTATAATTAATTGATTGATTCATAGAGAAAGGGAAGAGAGACTATTCTTCCATATGCGTTCAGTACTTTCTTGTTGAATCTAATATGCTAAAACGTAATAAGACAGTTATTGCATGTTAAGTAAATATTCGCTAGGAGTGAAAGTAGTTATTTGGGATTAACTGTTATGAAGGAGATGGAGATCAGTGGCGTGCCATGTGTGTGAGCATGCAGCGTATTTGTTTAATGCAAGTTTTATTACATCGAAATGAAATCTCTGTTTAGTTACCTTCCTTCCTAGAGAAGCTGTTGAGATAAGCATCGCTCGGTTAAACACGGATCTTCCCCACCGTGCCAGGATAATGCTGGGGATTAGTGGAGATGGGGTCTGTTTTTCTGACTCCCCACTAAGCAAACCTACCAGGAGCACCAGACTGCTCTGAATCTCCGAAATGATGTTGGGAGGAAAGGAAAAATCCTTCCCTCCATTCCCAAGCTCTTTTTAGCTGAGCTGTCAGGGCCCTCTCCCACCCAGCCCAGGCCCGACCATTCCAGGCAAGAGTTTCCCCAAGTCCCTGATGCCTTCATCTCTCCCCATCCTCAGCTGCCCACCCTTTCTAGAAGGGTACCGTGGCTAAGGCAACCAGTATCTAAATGTGCTTGTGTAACTGTTCTCAGGCGCCAGGGAAGTCATCACTAGGGGTATTGATCTGGGCTGCTCGAGAGAGAGCGCTGCACACTTCTTCCCTCCAGCTCTCCCGTTAGTGTGAGACGTGACTTTCGCTCAGGGCCGTGTCACTGTCTCTCCCACCGGGTGTGCTCAGCCCTTGATGAAGTGAGAGGCCAGTGTCACCTGCTGGCCTAATGAACTTGTCCAGCTCCCACCCCTTTGCCTACTGCGGCAGGACTCCACCCCTCCCGTTCTGCAGGGAGCTCCTTCTCTGAGCTCTCACTATCTCACCAGATTATCTCTCCCCTTTTTAAAACTCACTACAGGAAGCAAACCACAACTGAATCGGCTTGGCAAACATGCCCTCACCCACTCCTTTAGGGAGTGTAGCAATGTCTGCTTGTTACATAGGAGAGAGCGTCAGCTAGATTGCTGCCCCGAGATCTCTGTTAGACATTCCCTTTATTCTATAAATTCTGGGTCCCTACCCAATGCCAGGCACTGCGCTAGGCATGGGGAACCACAGAAATGGCCACAGAATTAGGCAGCAGAGCATATCAGAGGCACACAGGGCTTTAGAGATGATCCGGTTCAACCTTCACACTGTGCAGATGAGACCAAAGCCCAGAGAGGGAAAGCACTGTACCCAAGGTCACACAGCAAGATGGATGACCAAGCTGAGTCTTGGTCTGGCATTATTGCAAGACTGTGATGAGTCATTTGCCATGACTGGGAGAGCAAGTGAACAGCGATGCCAGCCCTTGCCCAGTCCCTCACCAGAAGGTTTGCTTTCTCCCCAGGATTGTCTGTGAGATGGGCCATGCCCTCGTGGGAACCACCTCCGGGCCAGTACGCCTGTGTATTGGCGAGTGTAAGCCAGAGTTCATGACGAAGTCCCATCAGCAGTACACCTTCGTGGTGAGTACTGGGTCCAGGGCCAGGTGCAGGTGCCCAGGGAGGAGACACACATGCTCCAGACTCCTCCCAGGAAGCCCCCACTCCCCTCCACCACCAGGCTTCTTGCAGACCAAGGAGGAGAAAAGGACCCTCCAGATAAGGCAACTTCTGGTCTTGCTGTTTTGAGAGCCTGTCTTTCCGGGATGAGATGGGCATGTGATAAACAAAGCTGTGGAGTCTTGGGAGTCCCAGAGGGCCACAGGTCAGAGTTCTAAATAAGGCAAAATCCAGCCTTTCTTAGAAAGTGGATCCTAGACTGGGGGCGGGGAGGAACTGCCTCTTGTCCCACCAGTGTAATATCTTAGTCTAATTCTAGCCTAATGAGGATGCATAGCCTGAGGGACCTAATTAAATAAGTCTATATTTATCCGCATGCTTTGTTTTCTGCCAAGGATATTTTAAGTGGGAGTTTAGAAGAGTCACTGAAATCTGGCAGGGATGTGTATCTGCACAGGACCACCAGAGTCACTCTGTATGTGTAACTCGCTACTGTGGTTACACGCACACATTCACACAGTCACACCTGAAAACATCTCTTTATGCGCAGGCAACAGGTAGTCAAATTGCAAAGACTTTCTTTCTGTAATGGCACTCTATTCATACTGAATCAATAACTTGCTTCTGGGGCCCTGGAGCCACCCAGGGCTATATTCATACTGAATCAGTAACTTGGCTTCTTCGGCCCCGAAGTCTCTCTTCTGACACCTACATTGCTACATCGAATATTTCATTAAAAGGCATTAACACTAGCAGATGGGGTCAAACCAGCCTTGCTGAGAGTTTTAAAAAATCTTTGGAGCACAAAATTCTATTTTCTGTAAAGCATTTTGCTGATTGTTTCAGGTTTTCTAGCCTCTGCCTTCTTATCTTGGCATCTCCACCTTTTTCTTATACTCTCCTCTCTCAGACTGGACAGTACCTTGCCCTATCTGCAGCCAACCTACTCCATCTCTTACCCAGGGCAGGGGCAGTGGGCATTTGTGTGAGAAGCAAACACAGGAGAACTAGCTGGGGAGAATGTCAGTACTCTGACAATCTGGAGCAAGTCAGAGCGGAGAGGGGCTTTAGAGATAACCTAGCCCACCCTCCTCACTTGACAGAGGGGTAAAGAATGATCTCAGAACTTGCCTCAGGACACACAGCGGATGAATGGCTGATGCAAACTAGAATTCATGCCTGTATAGTTGCTCAGTTAAATGCATTTTCCAATTCACTCCACTCCACTGCCCTCCAGGCAGAAGCAATTCTTTTCTGATTCAGGTCAGCCACCTGATGCATTTTAGGTTAAGCAATTCTTTTAAGCTTCAGGCTGAATTTTACTACTTAGTGAGCTTAGTAGAAAGCCCCAGCCAGTGATGCGCCATCCTCCTGATGAGGGTCTGAGAAGCCATCCTAACATTTACTGACAGCTCTCTGCACCAGGTGCCCTGCTGTGCCCTTCTTATGCTCAGGGAAGGACAGAAGGGCATGTGCATGGGCCATTAATGGAGGACTTTAGCCTCTCGGTGGCCCAACCCAGGCAGGGATGCTTTATTCAGCCCTATCGATTTTGTGCCCAAAAAATCAGTAAAGGCTCTAGATAGAGAAGCATTTTCAAATTGTTCTCAATTTGTAAACGAATTGATAGATTAGTCAGTGTCACCTCTGCTTTCCCTTCATTGTTATGAGCATGAGACTCTGGGGAGTTAATTAATTTCACCCCACATGACTCTTCTGCCTTCCCGGACATGCCCAGAGATGATTCTTAGAAAGAGTCTCACCTCTGGGGTAAGCAGAGAGAGCATTTAGGATTGAAAAGGACAGGACAAGTACCACCACGCCCAGAATGAAAACAATCTCTCCCATCCTTAGATCTAACCATGGTCCATCCTTTTGGAGAAAACCTAAGCTGTAGTCATTTCTCTGCTTCTTTCCAAAGAACCCTTCTGTGCTGTCACTCAACCCAATCCGAGGTCCCGAGTCAGGAGGCACTATGGTGACCATTACCGGCCATTACCTTGGGGCTGGGAGCAGCGTGGCAGTCTACCTGGGCAACCAGACCTGCGAGTTCTACGGGTGAGATAAACTTGAAGGGCCACCAGAAGACTGCACATCTGGGACATGTGCTGTTCACATGTTACTGTGCATGTTCATTCATAGGCCTGCCCCATCACCTCCATGTTATTTGCTACACCTAGACCCAAATACCATACCGGTCACTGTGAGAAATATATGCCACTTGTCAGTTTATATCCCGTATATCAAAGGGGCTGGATACTTCTAAAAATAATGAGAAGTGAGGGCCATGAGAACACCAGATGGAGGAGGCTCCTAGGAGCTCCCCAGTCACCACTAGGATCAAGCATTCATTGAGTCCTCACTATGGTGACTTGAAAAACACGGAGATTGCATAGCCTCAGTTCTTAGAAAGCACAGACTTATGCTTAGGGAATCCTCTGTACATAAAAAATTGAACACCTACCATTTGCCAGCACTCCCCTAGCCCTGAAGATGTAGAGAATTTGGAAAGAATCCATGGATGAGAACCCAGTTTGCCCAGGATTATCTACCTGATAATCTCCTTGGACCGTAAATTCCACAAGGGCAAGGACTGTGCATTCACTGCTATGTACAGTAGGTGCTCAGTGAATATTTGTTGACTGCCTGACCAGATTCTAAGCACTGACTAAATAGTTACATTCTAGAAAAATCCAGAAAAAAGGAGTTTCCCCGAAGCCCATGAAACCCTATCCCTGCCCCTCATTTTCAAACCCCCGTCTCCAATTTGCTGCCTCCCTAATCCACTGGGGCACTGATCTATACTGATGCGGGATGTGTTCCATTGTTGTAGAATATAAAAGGATGAGAGAACACTTCTGTGGCCTTACCCGCAGACCAAGGAAAGCCCCTTGTCAAGCCAGTGGGCACCTCTTGTTGCCCATGCCTTTCTTCTCAACCCTCCTGCTGTCTCCCTGTCAGGAGGTCAATGAGTGAGATCGTGTGTGTCTCACCCCCATCATCCAATGGCCTTGGCCCGGTCCCTGTTTCTGTGAGTGTCGACCGAGCCCATGTGGATAGCAACCTGCAGTTTGAGTACATAGATGACCCTCGGGTCCAGCGCATCGAGCCAGAGTGGAGCATTGCCAGGTGAGGTGGAAGGTGGGAGGGATGCACCTGGAAGCCACCCAGCATGATCCCTGCAGCCCAAGTCTGGCTCATGAGAGGGATCCCTAAGGTGGAGGTTCACCATGCCAGATTTGAGGGGGTTTTTTACCTAACCGAGCCTCTGCCTGTTTTCAGTGGCCACACACCCCTGACCATCACAGGCTTCAACCTGGATGTCATTCAGGAGCCAAGGATCCGAGTCAAATTCAATGGCAAAGAATCTGTCAATGTGAGTAACTGTTGGTCTGCCCCAGCCTTTGGTAAACACAGCTCTGTGTTGATGTTTTGCAATGGGATGAGCTCTGGGTTAGGCACTGGAGCCTCTGAATACTGGAGAGGAAAACTGGCTTAAGACTCTGAGCCTGGAATCATGGTCCAAATACCTAAACCTTATAATTTTTTTTTTTTTAAGACATGGCCTCACCCTGTCACCTAGGCTGGAGTGCAGTGGTGCAACCACAGCTCACTGCAGCCTTGACCTCCCGGGCTCAAGAGATCCTCCCGCCTCAACCTCCTGAGTAGCTAGGACCACAGGCGCATGCTTGGCTAGTTTATTATTATTATTATTTTAGAGATGAGGTCTCTCTCTTTTGCCCAGGCTGGTCTCAAACTCCTGGGCTCAAGTGATCCTCCCGCCTTGGCCTCCCAAAGTGCTGGGATTATAGGCATGGGCCACCATATTCAGCCCTACAATGATTTTTATATTATAATGACAGTACAATTTCTTGTCAGAAGGTGATATAGTGAGTGTATCAAAGTACTGGCTTCTGAGTTTATGATACAGCACAAAAGGACTCCTGTTTTATGACAGGTTGACTTTGAGGTCCAGTGAAAACCCATATTGGAAGTGGTTGGAGAAATTCTGGCTCCAGATTCAGACATGTCTGGAGAGGAAGCAGGGTTCTGCCATCTATTAGCTGTACAAGCATGGTCAAGTCATTTAACCTCCGGATCCTCCACCTCTCAGCTATGAATGGTGACAAGCAGACCTGCCTCAGCTTCATAACCTGCCAGCCCGTGGCTGGCATAAGGTTGGCAGTTGATAAATGCTAGTCACTGCATCAGATAACTCCACCTAGGTTGCTAAGATGATAAGTTTGGACATTTTATATTAGTCTTCCATGCATAGCCATGTAATTTTTATAATTTTTAAAAAGTTGTCTGTATCGTAGGGATAGAATGTCTGATATGTTGTCAATTTTTTATCATTTTTCTAGGCTCCATCTCACTCTTTCAGCCAATATTTTTTGAAACATGATTGTATTTGTAATTATATTATAGCAGATGCTACTATGGCCATTATTTTTCATAGAAATTACTATCATTACTGCTTTGACCTTCAGGGGCTTGACTAGACTAAGATGGAGATGGAGAAGATGGTGTTATGTCTCCCCTCTTACCCCTGACACATTTCCAGGGTACTTGAGGCTTCCATAAGAAACACAGAGATACACAAAATGACAGAGTGTTAGAAGGTTAGATATAGAAAGGTCTCAGGGATCATCTGATGCAACCCCTTCATTGTGTAGCAGAGGAAACTAAGTCCAGAAAGGTTAAATGACTTGCCCCCAATCATACAGGTGACTGGTGGAAGGGCCAAGGTGGATCCCAAACATCCAGACTCTTCGTAACTAGGCCACATGAAATGCTGGTGGGCTTGACATTACCATCCTGCTGGAGATGTTGGGGAGCACTTGTACCACACCTTCAGTATCCACCATGGTCACTCCTTTTTGGGCTAGGTGAGCGCATGCCTCCTTCTGCCAGGTGTAGAACTTGATCCATGGGTAAAAGAGCCTAGGCCCCCACTCCATTTCCAGACTGAAGCTCAGGGTCCCCAGAAACTCCCAGGTAACTCCAGAGTCTAGGGTGAGGTATGGGAACAAGAATGGTAAGTTCACACCCAGGAAGGATTTAAAAAAAAAAAAAAAGCAAGCAAATTAGGTACATGTTTTAAAATATAGGTTTTATTGTTATTCAGGTATGGCAAGGCCAGAGTATAACTTGTTCTACTCATAGATCAAATCCCAAGAGAAGAGGGAAGTCCATGCCCCAGGGGTCACAGGGGGAAGCACCAGGGTTGGTCTGCCTGGAGGCGGAGGGAGAAACCGTGGCAAGAGTCTTTATGTGGTTTCTGCAGGAAGGAACAGGCATAGCAGGGTAAGCAAGTTTAGGATCAGCTAGTTTGAGTCATTTTAGCAGGCTCTGGGGCCCAGGGCTGTCCCTAGATGTTTGGTGCCTGGTCCCAGAATGATGAGGGCATGAGGATAGTGTGGAAAGGGGCAGTTGAGCTGTGGGGTCTGGATTGGTTCGTGCATATGAAAGGCACGCTCACAGGCAAGTTATTTGCTATCTCTAGGATTTTGCCCTGGGAGGGACATTCCCTCCCCAGTCAGCAAGGCCCCAGATGTCAAAGCATCAGCATACAGAAAATAAAAGACGTAATTAATACAGTCCAGAGAAAATTCTGGAGAGTGAGTACGTGACCTCCAAAGGCTTCAGCCTTAGTCCTCAGGAAGCCATTGAAGAGAAGCCTGGGCTGGGAAGCCCCTCCCCTTCCCCACACCTGACACCTGTGGCCAAAGACTCAGGTCCCAAGCCCCCTGCTCCCTCACCAGGACTCATTTACAGTACTGGGCAGGAATGTTCTCAGCGCTTCCTCCAGCCCCATGCACCATGATCTCAATGTTCCAAGGACTTAAGAAGCAGTTCTGCCCTCTGGGGAGCTGGGGGCCCTCAGTTTCAGTGGTGACCTGCCTGGTATCTACAGGCTGGCAGACCCAGAGGGAAGGATGCAGGAATGTAGATTTCCATCAGCTGGCTCCAGAATGGGAGGCTCAGAACCCCTGCCCTGTGCTTCTGCTTTCAGGAATGGTAGGAGAGAGGCACTTTGCCCCTGAAGCCCTGCCTGGTTGGGCCCCAGCTCATCCTCAGCACACCTGGGCCTACCCCTCATCTTTGGGTTTTGAAGCTGCCCCAGTGGATAGCTAGGAGGGCCAGAGTGAAGCCGCCAAACCCAGAGGAATGTTTGGCAAACAAAAGTGCCGACGCAGCACGGGGCAGGCAGCGTCCAGAGGCCTCTTGCTTGGGAGTGATTTGCTTATTCATAGAGGAGCCTGGTCTAGGGAAGCTAGACTGGGACCAGCAGAGAGGAAGATGTTGGGGTGAGGCTCACCAAGGCTCGGTGTCTTCTTGCAGAACCCAGGAATTGGGACCCCCTGGCTCAGCTGTACCCATTTCACCACACCCCTCAACCTCCCCATGCCTCATTGTACCCTGCTGGAACATGAAAGGGGCATTAGGTTCATAAGGGGCTGCTGAATTGCACCACAAAAAGGGCAGGAATGTGTACTCCCTCCCACTACAGCATAAAGGCCGCAGTGAGCCGCTTTGTTTAAACTCTTAAATTCCCTTTGGAAAGGAAGGGTTAAGACTTGGACTTGAAGCTCTGACATAATCTCTATGCAAGTGTCAGCTTTTTTTGCAATTTCACACACAGTCTTGTTTTCTGAACATGAAGCTCGTGTGTGTGTATGTTGGCCAGACGCATAACATGTGTGGACCTGCCAGGACAGTGTGTACTTGAGCAGTCTGAGTTCTCAGAGATGCCCTGGCTGTTGCCGGGACCCCACTGCTCCCAAAGCTGAAACTGAGCTGTGCTGGGTGGGAGCCAGGCAGAGAGGGAGTAGGAGTCTGGGTTTTTCTTCCCAAGCCCCACGTGGGCCCTTTAGTGGTTTCTGCAGTCTGGCTGCTGTCTTGGGCAGCCCCAGAACTAAACCTCCACAGGAGAGAATGGCACAGCTCATGCTAAGGAGGGACTGGACCAGCCCAGCCAGGATTTTAGTTGGCACCAGAGACCTCCAAGAGAAAAAAGATATCATGAACTCTGTGTCAAAACCAAGCTTCTGTCCCAGTGCAGGGTTAGGGGACACTTGGTTAGAGAAGAGAGAGAGGTCCTACATAAAACATTTGAAGAAGGCTGGGCCCAGTGGCTCAGGCCTGTAATCCTAGCACTTTGGGAGGCCGAAGCGGGCGGATCACCTGAGGTTAGGAGTTCAGGACCAGCCTGGCAAACATGGTGAAACCCTGTCTCTACTAAAAATACAAAAATTAGCTGGGCGTGGTGGCACGTGCCTGTAATCCCAACTACTCAGGAAGCTGAGGCAGGAGAATCACTGGAACCCGGGAGGCGGAGGCTGCAGTGAGCTGAGATCGCACCACTGCACTCCAGCCTGGGCAACAGAACAAGACTCCATCTCAAAAAACAAAAAAACAAAAAACATTTAGAGAGTTGCAGAATCCTATTTTTCATCAGTATTCAATCAACATTAACTGAACACCTACTACATACTGAGCAAAGTGCTCATCTCGTACCACTTCCTGCTCCACACTCTACACACACACACACACACACACACACACACACACACACACACACACTATGCTGTTCTGTCCTACTTTTTTCTCAAACATCCCATGCTCCCTTGTCCCCAGGCCTTTTGGTGCTGTTCCCTCTGCTTGGAACTTGTTCCCTTCCCCCTCCCTCTCCTTATCTAGGTAAGTCCTACTCATTCTTCAGATTAAATTTCATTCATTTCTTCCATGGGAAAACTTCCATGAGTCACTCCTACCCTGCTTCAGGCCATGCACACACACATACACACACACACACACACTCATGCACACACACAGACACTCCTAGAGTAGCTGGTACTTCCCTACCAGGGCATTTATTTTTCACATCTCTGCATGCATCCAACAGTGCTGTGTGCCCCCCATGCCCCAGGCCCTCTTCCAGGACTAGATTGTAATGCTTCTTTGTCTTCCCTCCAGACTGTGTCTGCCGCTCTATAGCCCCACCTCCTAGCACAGTGCCAGCACAAACTAGAAACTAGATGCCCAAATAGCGTTGGTGAATGAATTAATGAAGAAGCTAAAATGCCCCCCACTCCCCCAAAATTTCACTGCCCTTTCCTGGAGGGCTTTCCCATGGAATGGAGACAAGCAAGTAAACCCAGTGACGAGGCACAAAAGCAGAGAGAGGGTGGGAGAGCGGCTGTGGGCCCCTGGGCTCTGTGCCAGGCACTCCGTGTGTGAATGCTGCGCTCTGGATCTCTTAGGTGTGTAAAGTTGTGAACACAACCACCCTCACCTGCCTGGCACCCTCTCTGACCACGGACTACCGCCCTGGCCTGGACACTGTGGAACGCCCAGATGAGTTTGGATTTGTCTTTAACAATGTCCAATCCTTGCTAATTTACAACGACACCAAGTTTATCTACTACCCCAACCCGACCTTTGAACTGCTTAGCCCTACTGGAGTCTTGGATCAAAAGCCAGGATCGCCCATCATTCTGAAGGTAGGAGTGCCCGCCAGAGGGCAGTGCCACCAGGGGCAGCAATGCCAGAGGGCGCCCCTCGCTCCTGGCCTGACTTTCTTTCTTTCTGGCTCTCCTTTCTATGCAATTGAACTTGCAAAGCTGTCTCCTTCCTACAGAAGGAGCTCATGGGTAGATATCGACCCATCAGGCGATATAGCTTGCACCCAGGCTTCTTAAGAAATACTTTAGAATATTTCTGTTAGTTCTTGTGAGCTTTGGGAACCAGAGGTACTGCAGTGAGTTGGGAGTAACTGTTTCCTTTTCTGTCCACTCTGTGGCCACAGGAGCCCACACACACATTTCCAGAGGTCACAGTCCCTGGCACTGTCCATCCAAGTGATTTGTTGCCCCACTACTTTCGTGAAATCCCATGCATCCTCCCCCAAAATTTTCTCTTGTTTAGTGTTTTGTCTCCTCTGCATTTTTCCCACTCTCTTCTTCATTTTCATTCTCTCCTGCGTCTGTTTTCTCTCTTTCTCTCTAGATCATGGCTGTTAGAAGTCCCCTCCACAAAAACTTGCCAAGGAGTCATTTCCTGGTTTTTGCACTGCTGCCCTTCCCCGTCTCCTTAATCTCTTTTTAAGTAGGCAATTAACTTGTGCGTGCATGTGTCAATTATGCCTATAAAGACTGCTATTCTCTACAGGGCAAAAACCTCTGCCCTCCTGCCTCTGGAGGGGCCAAACTCAACTACACTGTGCTCATCGGAGAGACCCCTTGTGCTGTCACCGTATCTGAGACCCAGCTTCTCTGCGAGCCTCCCAACCTCACCGGGCAGCACAAGGTCATGGTGAGTGAGCCCTGCGTCTGTAATGCCTCCTTCCCGCCTCGTGGTGCATGTGTGATCTGTCCTAAGGAAAGGCTCTCTTCTGTCTCGTTGCCTGACTCACCCCCTCCATATCTCCTCATCTCTGGGTCCTACATCAAATTGGGTATAAGCTGAGAACACAAGAAAAGAAAGGCAGATGCCGAGGCAGGAAATTGCTTTTTATCTAGAGCTGCACTGTGTGGTTGTGGTCTGTCATGTCCTTCCTCGCACTGTAAGGATCTGCTGGCATGCCCGGGCTCTACACCTGTGTGCATCCATGTGCGTCTGTATGTGTACAATGCACAGGTTCACGTGGGCGGGATGGTGTTCTCGCCTGGCTCGGTGAGTGTCATCTCAGACAGCTTGCTGACCCTGCCAGCCATCGTCAGCATCGCGGCCGGCGGCAGCCTCCTCCTCATCATCGTCATCATCGTCCTCATTGCCTACAAGCGCAAGTCTCGAGAAAATGACCTCACTCTCAAGCGGCTGCAAATGCAGATGGACAATCTGGAGTCCCGTGTGGCCTTGGAGTGCAAGGAAGGTTAGTGGAAGCACACCCTCATTTGCTGGGTCCCTCTTTCTCCACCTGCCTTATTGCCCTTCTCCCTGCAGACAACTCCTATCTTTACTCCCATCGCTGCCAGCCATGCCTCTGCATTCCACTTTCACCCCTGTTTTCCCAGAACTTCTTTTGCTTATAGGGTCAGAGATGTCCAATGAAGAATGCCCACTGCATGAGGACCCAGGTCCAATTGCATTGTTCTAGTCCCTTCTTTGCCCTGACCCATCCCACAATCTGGCAAACACTTTCTCCCTCTCAGGGCCTCAATGTCCCCACAGTCAGAGTCCCCAGGCTCCACAGCCCCAGACTCTAGATCCCCCATGGGAGTGTCCAGCTCTTGTTTTTCTGCACACTGTCTTCGCAGCACGTGGGAGCAGCGGCAGCAAAGGCAGACAAGCACCTGCCTCATCTCCCCCAGGGTTTGTTTTCCATCAGTGCTGCAGGCTGAGCGCTCTGAAGGCCGCCACTTGCTGGTGTCCTTGGCTGTGGACGTGTGTGGGAGTGCAGATTGTGTTTTCTCCCATGTCCCACGCAACCACAGCCTCGAGGTGACGAGTGTACCTGGCGTCCTCTCAGGCTGAGGACCTGGCAGGCTCTCTGGGTAAACAGCTCAATTAGGAATGAAAACATTTCTCCTTTTGCTGCAAATGTCAAGATCAGAAACAAGCCCTCTGCTGGATGACAGGGAAGAGCTGGGCTGGGAAATAGGACATGTGGAGCCAAGGTTCCTCCTGGCAACAGGGCTGGTGAGTTTGGCAGAGGAAGGAGCCAGGAAGACAGGTGTGCCACCACCAAGGTGAGGCTTCTGAAGCCCTTGCCTTCCCAAACTCGGCTCTCAGCTGAGCGTCTCATGACCAGACCTCCCCTAGGCTTTTGCATCTTGATTTATTACCTTGATTAGAAAAGGGCAGCACTTTGCCTGTTCTGGTCTTTGCTGGACCCCCTCAGCCATGGTCTCTCACCTGCCTCCAGCATCTCCGTGATCTTTACTAAACGGCCCAATCATGATACTTTTTTTTCCTTGTTGAAACTACACTTGTAATATGTAAAGAGAAAATTTGAAATTATAGATAAGTATAGAGGAGAAAATAACATAAAAATCACCCATTTCCCCACCACCTAAAAACAGCTGGGAGTAGCCCCGCCCTCTGGAGACACACTCCCGTAATCCTCAGAGTCTCTACAAAAGGTCCTCCCCTCGTCCTTTGCAAACTTCTTCTCCCTCTTTCTCCTCCCCCGACTGGGGCTTCCCCACGAGCCTCTCCGTCTGCTTATTCTCATAGCTTTTGCTGAGCTCCAGACGGATATCAATGAGTTGACCAGTGACCTGGACCGCTCAGGAATCCCTTACCTGGACTATCGTACCTACGCTATGCGAGTCCTGTTCCCGGGCATCGAGGACCACCCCGTCCTGCGGGAGCTGGAGGTAATGCCTGCCTCCTGGGCCCAGCCACCCAGCAGGGATGCAGGCCCAGGGTATCCTAGGAAATCCAGATGAGACTCAGCAGTACTGAGTAAGGTTAGCAGGGAAGAGGGGTCAGTAGTTTGTAACAGCATCTCAGCAACAGAGCTATCAGGAAGGTTACGGCTGAGGGGGCACCCAGGCTCCTTGGGATGGTTCCAGGGTAAAGCTCATTGTTTGTCATTTTTTAATTAATGACTGAACTAATTAACTAAGATCCTGCCTCATTCTAAAATGGATTTAAGATGGCTTAAAGAAAGACACAGGATTCTATGAGGTTTGTTTGTTCATTTGTTGGTTTGTTTTACTAAAGATAATAAATCAGGCAGAGGAGATTAAGGGGAGACTAGTAAACTGAAGAAGTTTGAGGGGGCATCTCCTATTCTATCCTTGGGAAAATCAGGCAGCCTCCCCTCTGAGAGCTCCGCATGGAGCCCAGCCTCCCCGGCCCAGTGCAAGGTCAGAGCAGACTGTCGACCTTAGAGCCAGCTGTTCCTACATCATCACGGGTGAGTGGAATGGGGTGGGGTTGGTTATAGGCCTCAAACATAGGGTCCTACAGCTAGTGTCATCGCCAGCAGGCCCTCAGTGAGACCCTCAGGTAGGAGGCCCGATGCCTGTCCTCTGAGGGCGTCGCCTCCACCACACCCCACCCCAGGTACAAGGAAACGGGCAGCAGCACGTGGAGAAGGCCCTGAAGCTCTTTGCCCAGCTCATCAACAACAAGGTGTTCCTGCTGACCTTCATCCGCACCCTGGAGCTGCAGCGCAGTTTCTCCATGCGCGACCGGGGCAACGTGGCTTCGCTCATCATGACCGGCCTGCAGGGCCGCCTGGAATATGCCACTGATGTCCTCAAGCAGCTGCTCTCTGACCTCATCGATAAGAACCTGGAGAACAAGAACCACCCCAAGCT
The DNA here is from genome assembly GCF_000001405.40 of Homo sapiens. Lineage (NCBI taxonomy): Eukaryota > Metazoa > Chordata > Mammalia > Primates > Hominidae > Homo > Homo sapiens. The sequence goes on along the minus strand of NC_000001.11, from coordinate 208,042,109 downwards.
GCTACTCCGGAGGTCTGGCCCGCAGCAGTGGGTGGAGAGGGTGGCAGGAGTCTGAACCTGGACAGAGCACCTCATTATAGCAGGCCCCACAAGCAGCATGAGAAGGCCCACTCCCCAGAAGGGGCACCCATTCAGAGCAGCCTGTGTCCTCACGTCTCTGCAGGGCAGAATCTGACTTTCCCTCAGCCCAGGGAGACTACAGAGTCTGAAGTCACCCAGGTGTGATGGATGAGCTCAGACCCTTGCTCGGATCTCAGCTGGAGTCCCAGCTCTGCCTCCTGCTAGCTCTGTGATTTCTGGCCAGTGTTGTAACCACTCTGTTGTTTAGTTTCCTCCTAGACAAAATGAGAAAAATAATTCCTATCTCACAGTCTCTTCCTCCCGGTGCCTCTAGAGCTGTGCTGTCCGGCACAGCGGCCCCTAGCCACAGGTAGCTGCTACAAATTAAAATGAAATAGAATGTAAAATCCAGCTCCTCCATTGCCCTAGCACCTAGCCGCTTTCTAAGTGCTTGGTTGCCACATTGCAGCTAGTGGCCACCATACGGGACCGCACAGATAGAGAACATTCCCATTATCGCAGAAGGTTCTATTGCGCAGCACTGAGCTAGGGATTTGGACAGCCTAGAAGGCCGTGCCTTCTGAGCTCAGCTTCCTGGATCTGAATCACAGCATCCACTACACATGCCCACTGCATTTTTCCTGGCAGGGGAGAGGGTTGGAGACCTCAGTATCCCCTGAGCCCACCCTCTCTAGAGGCCGTGGGGAGCCGGGCACAGCTTTGGAGTCCTCTGGGCAGCAGGGGCTGGAGGGCTGCACCTCCGTTCACCACCCCTCCTCTTTAGCCTTCCTCTAGCAAGGTCTCAGGCTTCCAGGCCCCACGTGGGGTGAGGAGGGAGGAAGAATGGCTTTGCTTTATGAGTACTGAGCCCCCATCCTGCCAATCTGAGCATTAGAAACTCTCATTAAGAACTGTTGTATTTAAATTAGAGCTAATCTCAAGCACAATGCAGGGAGAGGGTGCTGGGAGGAGCCACGGGAGAAAGCTACAATTTTTTCTGCCATTGTCACTCTCTCCCAGGCCCAGATTGCTGAGCAGCCCTGGCAAATGCCTGGGATTTACTGCAACCAGAGGATATAATTTGCACCACGTGCAGGGAGTTAAAATACCCCTCCGGCATCCCCTTCACTGAGGGTCTGTCACAGCCGCTTTGTTCCTTCCCAAATCCCCAGATCTGTAGCCCTGGGATGGGAAGGGGAGGGGGGCCAGCCCTTGCATGAGCAAATCCCCTGTTGGCAAAACACTTAAGCACTGCTCTCTACCTGAGGGCTGGGATCCAAGACCCCACATGACAGCAATAATGACAGCTAATGGATAGTGCTTAGCAGGTGCCAGGCACTTTTCTTAGCACTTTACAAATATTAACTCATTCAACCCTGACAACAACCACTGGGGTTGGATGTTATTATGACTGTCTCCATTTAGTGATAGGAATACTGAAACCAGAGAGGTTAAATGACTTGCCCAAGGTCACACAGCCAACGTATGGCAGAATCAGGATTTGAACCCAAGGAAGTCTAACCTTGAGTGTTTTTGGAGGGGAAGGGACCAGGCACCTTCCAGATAGGCAAAACAGGGTACTCACACATGCAAGAAAGCCCAGAGGGACTGGGAAACTCTCTAGTTATCACCCTGAGGCCAGAAGTGAGTTGGGAGAACCGGTTCTTTATAGCCCTGTGGGATAGTGAGGTGCCTTTATCCACAGACCCTGTCTCAGATGCAGCCAAAGTTCAGAGCACCACGGACCATCAGGGCTGAAAAGGCCAACCTCTCCATTTTCATAGGAAATTGAGGCCCAGAAAGAAGCCACCCCTACCCCCAGGTCACAGTCTAGTTACTGGGTGAGCTGGGCTGGGACCCAGGTGTCCTGACTCCCGCCCTGCGTTCTCCCATGCTCCATTGTTCTCTTGGGAGACCTCATGGCAAGCCCAGGCCCCACCACGGAGACCCCTCTGTGAAGGACTGCCCCTTACCCTTTGTCCCTTCCCCAGGACAGAGTCTGTGGCTGAAAAGATGCTGACCAATTGGTTCGCCTTCCTCCTGCACAAGTTCCTAAAGGTGAGAAAGGGAGTGAGACGGGGCCTAGCGTCCAGGGCAGGATGGCACTGCTGCTTAGATCCTGGCCACAGGGCTGCATGGGGACCCCCTCCCTCGGGAGCAGGAACCTGGACTGGCTGTGCTAAAGCCCTTCCTTCCACTGGCCTCGCTCCGAGAGAGGAAAGGGAAAACGTACAAACCTGAGGAGGCCGTGCCCACACCTCCTGCCCTGTCTGTGCCCACAGGAGTGCGCAGGGGAGCCACTCTTCATGCTATACTGTGCCATCAAGCAGCAGATGGAGAAGGGCCCCATTGATGCCATCACGGGCGAGGCCCGCTACTCCCTGAGCGAGGACAAGCTCATCCGGCAGCAGATCGAGTACAAGACCCTGGTGAGGAAGCCGGAAGCTCCGGGCCCGCCTGTGTATCTTCTACTTCTGCCCCTTGCTCTGCCTTCTGTCCATAAAAGCAGTCTAGGGGGTCAATAAAGAGGATGGGAGGCTGGTCTGGGGTGAGCCCAAAGGACAACTAAGTGTACCAAGAGCAAGGTGGCAGGCCCGCCCACCCATCCCAAGCACTCTATGCCTCGGTTTATCCTAGATAATATTGGGGGAGAAAAAAGTTCACCCATCATTAGTTATTGGGTAATTGGTATTATGAGAAAGATGTATGTTGGTTCCTAACATAGAGGCTTTGGGGAAGTGCATGACTAGTCTCTGATACATGTAGAGCCATCTCTAAACACTGAGGGTGCCTCATTCCAGGACTATAGTCTCCCCTAAGCTGTCCAGGAGCTAGAAAGTAGAGTCCTGGTGCTTTGAGAAAGAAGAATTGGACACAATGACTCAGACTCTCATTTGGCAGATGTTATGAAGGTGAGGGAAACTGAGTCACAGACCAGAAAAGTACCCTTATTTCCCCTATAAGGAGGGTGAACTTTGGAAAAAGAAGATTCTGAGGTCCTGACCCTCTCCCTCAAACTACTCCTTCAACTCCTGTCCTGCTCACCCTCTGTCCCCTACTTGTAGATCCTGAACTGCGTCAACCCTGACAACGAGAACAGTCCAGAGATCCCAGTGAAGGTGTTAAACTGTGACACCATCACACAGGTCAAGGAGAAGATTCTTGATGCCGTGTATAAGAATGTGCCCTATTCCCAGCGGCCGAGGGCAGTGGACATGGACTTGGGTAGGAAACCTGGACTCAGAGTGTGAGGGCAGGGGTTGAGAGGTGAAGGAAGGGAAGCTGCCATGCACACAACCCTTGCAGGGGCATGACTGTGTCCTGGCCAGCTGAGGCCCGTGTGAAATGCTTCCCGCTTTGAGCGCTGCCTGTTCAGATGTGGCTGTCTCTGGGGAGGTCTACGTGTTTCCTCTGCTGCCTGGGCCCATGGAGCCCTAGATGTCTCTAGCCTCTGTTATTGGTACCAGCTTGAGGGGGCCGGGTTGCCAGGTCCCTAGAGAAGGTGCAATCGGGAGACACTGGCTCACAGCCCTCATCCCTCTCACGCCGCTCCCTGCACCACCCCCTCCACCCAGAGTGGCGCCAAGGCCGGATCGCCCGGGTCGTGCTGCAAGATGAGGACATCACCACCAAGATTGAGGGTGACTGGAAGCGGCTCAACACACTGATGCATTATCAGGTGAGAGGGGGTGTCTTTTCCCCTCTTCAGCTTCCCAGAATGTTCCCTTCCCGCTAAGCCTTGCTCTAAGGCCTCAAAAGTCTAAAAAGGATTTTCCTCTCCCTGCTTTCCTCCTCCTGCTGGAGCATAGAACAGGGATTCTTAGCCATGGCTGCCCATTGGAATTACTGAGGGAACTGATAAAAAACGTGAGTGACCAAACTCCACCCTCAGAAACAGATTTAACAGGTCTGGGGTAAGGCCTAGGCATTTCTATTCTGTGTACCTCTACATTTGCAAAAAAACAAAACAAAACAACAACAACAACAAAAATCAAATGCATATTGCAAAGCCCTCCACATGGACAACTACCTTAAGGTACCTGGCACTTTCTCTCTTTAGCATCTTACTAACACAGCCCACACCTCTGACTTACAGTGGAGCAGGGAATTGAATAGACTTCTCTTCAGGTCTTACATTCTTCCTCTTAGTAGCTGGTGTCCTTGGGAAAATTACTCAGGCTTTCTTGTCTCTCATGTGTAAAATGGGGCTCCTGGTGAACCCTGCTCCGTACAGTTGTATAGAATAGATTCAAGATAGAAGGTGAGGTGTTTAGCACACTGGCAGACACATTGAATGAGCAGTCAAAAAAAAAAAAGAAAAATCCCAGCAAAAGAACACAAGATCAAGGAGGTATCTACTCCCGCCTCTTCTCCCCTCCCATGGTAACCACTCGCAGCTGGGGGTCTCTGTAAGATTAAGCACAGGTAGACAGGTTGGGATTCAGAAAAAATACTAAAATAGAAACTGGAAATAAGAGACACCAAGGGAAATTAAACCAACTAGAGGAAGCGCCTCAGGCTGCAAGACCCGTGGGATCGTCTGATTAATAACATCCTCCCATGTCCCTGTCTCGGAAAGAAGGATCTGTAGAGGGGCTGGCAGGCTGGGCTCTCAGGCACTGAGCTGCCAACCACCAGGCGCTGGAGCTGGCAGGAGCCTCCATGGGCACAGAGGAAGCTGTGGCACAGGGGTCCCCAAAAATGCTCTTCTCCAGGCTCCATCCCCCTGACTCGCCTGCACCTCCCATCCTGACACCCTGCCTAGACCCCTGCCCAGAGGACATGAGTGTGGTGTAATGGGAAGAGAAGAGGCTTTAGAAGCTGTATTCAAGCCCTGCTTCCCCACTCCTTGGTGGTGTGACTTTAATCTCTCTGCACCTTGGGCTCCTCATCTGTAAAATGGAGATAACAACCCTGACTTGCGAAAGTGTGAGGTGCCCAGGATTGTACTTACAGATAAGGTAGCTGTCATCACTCCCTGTTAATTCTGTACACATACACACATGCCCAAACACCACCATTTCATATGGTGCTTAATGTATCCAGTAGAACAATTGTAATGAACCAATTAAAGCTGAATAAGAAAGTACAAAAGAAAATAGCATGATGCCCCCAAATCATGAGTTTCTAAAGGGCAGGAGTGGGGTCTTTCTGCTTCTGTCTCTGATACTCTAATGCTTGTTACTGGGCTTTCCAGCCTACGGCTCCCAATCAGAAGAAGGGACTATTTTGTTCTCATGGTGCTGATCATACAAAGCACTTTCAATTCCCTGATGTCATTTATCATTCATGTATGCATTCAGTCCTCAAATATTTACTGAGTTTTACTGAGTGCAAGTCACTTCCCACATGCTAGCCCTGAGTGACAGGGGACAGCAGGGAGTATTCTTCCCTTTGGGAGACTGTGATGATGATGATGATGATGCTCATAATAGCAACGCTAATACCAACACTTACTGCGTGCTCACTGGATCCCAGGCACTGCTCGCAGCCTTTCCGTGTTTTAACTTCTTTAATTCTCACCACAAACTACATGCAATTATTATCCCCACTGACCGGTAAGGCTCAGAGAGGTTAAGTCCTGGAGCGGGTAAGCAGCAGAGTCAAGGTCAGACCCAGCCAGGCATCTTGACCATGGACTTGCACCACCTGTTGGTTAAGACAGAGAAAAACCAAGGACAGGAGCGGTTTAGTGACTAGACCTGCAATCAAGTTGAACTGTGGTCATTTGAGTCACCTTGTGAATCTTTCATTAGGTGACAAGAAACTATAAATGATAATGTAATCTGTTCTCCCTGGGAGTGTGAACTCCTGCCCCTGCCAAGCTTTCCAGGTATCATTTCTGGGCTGTCAGTTGTAAGGAGAATTCCTGAAAGACGGAGGTAGAGACTGCCCCCCTCCCAGTCCTAGTGCTGATGGTACCAACAGCTGACAAGTCCAGGGAGCTGGTCTAGCTGGGAAGTAATGGAGCCTTGGCACCTTCCAGGCACAGGACCTTGGAGCTTTATACCATCAAGTCAATGCACTGCCCTCTTGTTACCCTCTCTGGAGTCAAAGGTCCTTGGAGCCCTTGCAGAAGAAAATCTGCATAATCTTAATTAACAAAGAGATGTTAAAAAACTTCCCAGGCTTCTGCAGATTTATAGGGAGGGTAAAATTAAACACCACCACTAAAACCTGCTATCAGGGAATCTCGTTAGCACTAATGTTCATTTATAGTTTGACTTCCCCACATTTAATTCTTTTTTGGTGGGAGAGAGGGACTGACAATTTAAGACCCAGAAAGATGGTTTTATGACTGGTGCAGCTATAAATCAAACTTATAAAGTTCATAAAAATTGTTAAAATAAAAAATGGTTTAATAGGAATGTTTTATGGCCCATAACATTATTATAGCTGTTTTATTCCCTCTGCGTTAGGGGTTTAATTGGATCACCACGATTCTGGGGATTCTCTGTTTTTACTGGATGGAGGGCAATCTTAAATCAAAATGGCCCCAAATGTCTTCAGTATGGCTCCTCACTTATCCGCCCTCTCCTGCAGGCTGGGTGCTGAGCTGGGGTACCCTCATAGAGGATGGGACAAGACACCATCTTTCTCGCTCAGTCCCCAAGAGTGGCTGCCCTTTTGATGAAACTATTTGAAGTGATCCAGGCATTATAGGACCCAGGTCAGAAAGAAAGCAGAGCCAAAAGGGAAAATGGGCTTCAGACCAGTGTGACTCGAAATAAAATTCCAAGTTAGAATATATAATGAAGAGAACATGTGCTCTGGAGCCTGACATACCTGGCTACAAATATTGGCTCTACCATGTATGAATTATGTGACCTTTAAGAGGTTGCTTAGCCTCCCTATGATTCCATTTTTTTTTTTCATCTGTAAAATGGGAATACTTGTGCATAGCTCGCCAAGTGGATGGGAGAATGGGTCTGGCCCAGTGCTGTCCAGTAGAAAATTAATGCAAGCCACATGTGCAAGCCACATGTGTAATTTAAACTTTTTGTATTAGTCACATTAAAAAGGTAAAAATAAAAAGATCAATTAATGTTACATATTTTATTTAATCTAACTGGTCTAAAATGATTATCATTTCAATATGTAATCAATTTAAAAATTATCAATAAGATAGTTTATATTTGTATTCATACTGTCATTGAAATCCAGCATGTAATGTATATTTATAGCACATCTCAATTTAGACACAGCTCATCTTAGTTGGGATTAACCACATTTCAAATGCTCAATCCACACACATGGCAAGTAGCTATTTGATTGGGTTATGCAGCTCTAACCCAATAAAAGCTCAAAAAACAGCAGTAATGGTTGTTTCTGGTATTCCTGTACTCCTTGCTCTCTACCCCACAGCTATCTTATAACCCTCTAGAAATACTTGACTATCCAACTTCCCAAGACACCTACATTCACCTTTTGTACTGTACCTTTTGTACCCTTCTCAGGTGTCAGACAGGTCGGTGGTGGCTCTGGTCCCCAAACAGACCTCCTCCTACAACATCCCTGCCTCTGCCAGCATCTCCCGGACGTCCATCAGCAGATACGGTGAGAACCACGAGGGCAGACTGGGCAGCTCAGAGCAGAGTCTTCTGAGACCTAGCAGGGCCCACTCGCTACCCCTTCTAACAGCAGGCAGCCCTTGCTGCTGCTGGCCCAATCACAGGCTCCTGCCAGTTGGTTTCTGTCCTCCCTAGTCCAGGCATTCCCAGGCAGCCTGCGCCCTCAGAGCCGTGGGAGCAGGTGGCACCATGTGCCCTTTGTTTGATATCCCAGCCTGGTAGAGGAGTCGGAGTGGCCCAGAACCAGGAAGGCACCTGGCTGGGGGTTCATATATCCCAGGTTGCCTGGGCCAGTCCAGTTTATGCTTGTTGTCCTGGCTGAATTATTAAGAGTGCCCCCTTTTACTCTCAGAAGTGTCCCAGTTTGATCAATAAATTAGTCCGAGGAGTACTGGGGCCCCCAGGCCCTCCGGGCAATGAGGTTATGGCACCTCCTTGTCCCTTATTTTATTTGCTCTGGTTTCATGTATGCACTAAGGCCTTGGGCTTCTCAACCAAAGGGCACCACAGGACTGAACCCAGCAGCACCAAAAAGGGCTCAGGAAATCCCATACCCCAGGCCCCATGCAAGAAGAGACCCTTAACTCCCAAGAGGAGAATTACAACTTGCAGCTCTTTAGTATCCAGATTTCTATTAAAACACCGACGAAAATATCCTATTGACATTTTACCTATTAATTATTCATTGCTGGGAGTGTCAGAGTAGAGGGGACTCCCAAATTCCCAAGGATGTCTCTAATTCACAAAATTTATAAATCCTTTTCTAAAAAAGCCTTCAAGCTCTTCCGTCCTCATGCCAACCAAGGATCCCTAAAATAACCTACCATATATGAGGTCCCAACGGTCCCCTTTCAGCTGAAATGAGTTTATTCTGAGTGGATGCAGCAGGCGGGCAGGGATTCTGGAAGGATTCTACAAGCAAGGCTGGTGACTGTTACTCACAGCCCTCCACCAACCCCTTCTCCTCAGACTCCTCCTTCAGGTATACGGGCAGCCCCGACAGCCTGCGGTCCCGGGCCCCGATGATCACCCCAGACCTGGAAAGTGGGGTCAAGGTGTGGCATCTGGTGAAGAACCATGACCACGGTGACCAGAAGGAGGGTGACCGGGGCAGCAAGATGGTGTCCGAGATCTACCTGACCCGGCTACTGGCCACCAAGGTAACTCCCCCTCTGCCCAGACCAGGGAGTGCTTGTTAAAGGAGCACATCCTGCCCCTCCACAACACAGAAAGGATGTCTGGAGTGTGTCCTTCAAGAGGACCCATTCAGACAGTCCAGGTACAGCCAGACCTGGTGGCTCATGCCCATAATCCCAGCACTTTGGGAGGCCAAGGCAGAAGGATGCCTTGAGCCCAAGAGTATGGGACCAGCCTGGGCAACATATCAAGACCCGATCTCCACTAACG